>NC_000017.11:26243334-26404983 GCF_000001405.40 Homo sapiens
CCTTTTCAAAGAGCAGTTTCCAATCACTCTTTCTGTGGAATCTGCAAGTGGATATTTGGACCTCTTTGAAGATTTCGTTGGAAACGGGAGAATCTTCACAGAAAAGCTAAACAGAAGCATTCTCAGAAACTTCTCTGTGATGTTTGTGTTCAACTCCCAGAGTTTCACATTGCTTCTCATAGAGTAGTTCTGAAACATGCTTTTCGTAGTGTCTGCAAGTGGACATTTGGAGCGCTTTCAGGCCTGTGGTGGAAAACGAATTATGGTCACATAAAAACTGGAGAGAAGCCTTCTCAGAAACTTCTCTGTGATGATTGCATTGAACTCACAGAGTTGAACCCTCCTATGGATAGAGCAGTGTTGAAACTCTCTTTTTGTGGAATCTGCAAGTGGATATGTGGACCTCTCCGAAGATGTCTTTGGAAACGGGAATATCTTCACATAAAAACTAAACAGAAGCATTCTCAGAAACTTCTTGGTGATGTTTGCATTCAAATCCCAGAGTTGAACCTTCCTTTGATAGTTCAGGTTTGAAACACTCTTTTTGTAGGATCTGCAAGTGGCTATTTGGACCACTCTGTGGCCTTCGTTCGAAACGGGTATATCTTCGCATAAAATCTAGACAGAAGCATTCTCAGAAAATACTTTGTGATGATTGAGTTTAACTCACAGAGCTGAACATTCCTTTGGATGGAGCAGGTTTGAGACACACTTTTTGTAGAATCTACAAGTGGATATTTGGACCTCTCTGAGGATTTCGTTGGAAACGCGATAACTGCACCTAACTAAACGGAAGCATTCTCAGAAACTGCTTTGTGATGATTGCATTCACCTCACAGAGTTGAACATTCCTATTGATAGAGCAGTTTGGAAACACTCTTGTTGTGGAATGTGCAAGTGGAGATTTGGAGCGCTTTGAGGCCTATGGTAGTAAAGGGAATAGCTTCATAGAAAAACTAGACAGATGCATTCTCAGGAACTTTTTGGTGATGTTTGTATTCAACTCCCAGAGTTGAACTTTCCTTTGGAAAGAGCAGCTATGAAACACTCTTTTTCTAGAATCTGCAAGTGGACGTTTGGAGGGCTTTGTGGTTTGTGGTGGAAAAGGAAATATCTTCACCTAAATACTAGATAGAAGCATTCTCAGAAGCTTCTCTGTGATGACTGCATTCAACTCACGGAGTTGAACACTCCTTTTGAGAGCGCAGTTTTGAAACTCTCTTTCTGTGGCATCTGCAAGGGGACATGTAGACCTCTTTGAAGATTTCGTTGGAAACGGAATCATCTTCACATAAAAACTATACAGAAACAGTCTCAGAATCTTCTTTGTGATGTTTGCATTCAAATCCCAGAGTTGAACTTTCCTTTCAAAGTTCACGTTTGAAACACTCTTTTTGCAGGATCTACAAGTGGATATTTGGACCACTCTGTGTCCTTCGTTCGAAACGGGTATATCTTCACACGACATCTAGACAGAAGCTTTCTCAGAAAATTCTTAGGGATGATTGAGTGGAACTCACAGAGCTGAACATTCCTTGCGATGTAGCAGTTTAGAAACACACTTTCTGCAGAATCTGCAAGTGCATATTTGGACCTCTCTGAGGAATTCGTTGGAAACGGGATAATTTCAGCTGACTAAACAGAAGCATTCTCAGAACCTTCTTCGTGCTGTCTGCATTCAACTCACAGTGTGGAACCTTTCTTTGATAGTTCAGGTTTGAAACACTCTTTTTGTAGAAACTGCAAGGGGATAATTGCACTTCTTTGAGGCCTACCGTAGTAAAGGAAATAACTTCCTATAGAAAGAAGACAGAAGCATTCTCAGAGCCCTCTTCGTGATGTTTGCATTCAACTCACAGTGCTGAACCTTTCTTTGATAGTGCAGCTTTGAAACACTCTTTTTGTAGAAACTGCAAGTGGATGTTTGGTCCTCTCTGAGGATTTCGTTGGAAACGGGATAAACCGCACAGAACTAAAACAGAAGCATTCTCAGAACCTTCTTCGTGATGTTTGCATTCAACTCACAGTGTTGAACCTTTCTTTGATAGTTCAGGTTTGAAACGGTCTTTCTGTAGAAACTGCAAGTAGATATTTGGACCTCTCTGAGGATTTCGTTGGAAACGGGATAACCCACACAGAACTAAAACAGAAGCATTCACAGAAAACTCTTGGTGACGACTGAGTTTAACTCACAGAGCTGAACATTCCTTTGGATGGAGCAGTTTCGAAACACACTATTTGTAGAATGTGCAAGTGGATATTTGGGCCTCTCTGAGGATTTCGTTGGAAACGGGATAAACCGCACAGAACTAAACAGAAGCATTCTCAGAAACTACTTTGTGATGATTGCATTCAAGTCACAGAGTTGAACATTCCCTTTGACAGAGCAGTTTGGAAACTCTCTTTGTGTAGAATCTGCAAGTGGAGATATGGACCGCTTTGAGGCCTATGGTAGTAAAGGAAATAGCTTCATATAAAAGCTAGACAGTAGCATTCTCAGAAACGTCTTTGTGATGCTTGCATTCAACTCACAGAGTTGAACTTTCCTTTCGAGAGAGAAGATTTGAAACACTCTTTTTCCAGAATGTGCAAGTGGACATTTGGGGAGCTTTGAGGCCTGTGGTGGAAAAGGAATTATCTTCCCGTAAAAGCTAGATAGAAGCATTGTCAGAAACTTCTTTGTGATGATTGCATTCAACTCACAGAGTTGAAGGTTCCTTTTCAAACAGCAGTTTCCAATCACTCTTTCTGTGGAATCTGCAAGTGGATATTTGGGCCTCTCTGAGGATTTCGTTGGAAACGGGATAAAACGCACAGAACTAAAACAGAGCATTCTCAGAAACTTCTCTGTGATGTTTGTGTTCAACTCCCAGAGTTTCACGTTGCTTTTCATAGAGTAGTTCTGAAACATGCTTTTCGTAGTGTCTGCAAGTGGACATTTGGAGCGCTTTCAGGCCTGTGGTGGAAAACGAATTATGGTCACATAAAAACTGGAGAGAAGCCTTCTCAGAAACTTATCTGTGATGATTGCATTCAACTCACAGAGTTGAACCCTCCTATGGATAGAGCAGTGTTGAAACTCTCTTTTTGTGGAATCTGCAAGTGGATATGTGGACCTCTCCGAAGATGTCTTTGGAAACGGGAATATCTTCACATAAAAACTAAACAGAAGCATTCTCAGAAACTTCTTGGTGATGTTTGCATTCAAATCCCAGAGTTGAACCTTCCTTTGATAGTTCAGGTTTGAAACACTCTTTCTGTAGGATCTGCAAGTGGCTATTTGGACCACTCTGTGGCCTTCGTTCGAAACGGGTATATCTTCGCATAAAATCTAGACAGAAGCATTCTCAGAAAATACTTTGTGATGATTGAGTTTAAATCACAGAGCTGAACATTCCTTTGGATGGAGCAGGTTTGAGACACACTTTTTGTAGAATCTACAAGTGGATATTTGGACCTCTCTGAGGATTTCGTTGGAAACGGGATAACTGCACCTAACTAAACGGAAGCATTCTCAGAAACTGCTTTGTGATGATTGCATTCACCTCACAGAGTTGAACATTCCTATTGATAGAGCAGTTTGGAAACACTCTTGTTGTGGAATGTGCAAGTGGAGATTTGGAGCGCTTTGAGGCCTATGGTAGTAAAGGGAATAGCTTCATAGAAAAACTAGACAGATGCATTCTCAGAAACTTTTTGGTGATGTTTGTATTCAACTCCCAGAGTTGAACTTTCCTTTGGAAAGAGCAGCTATGAAACACTCTTTTTCTAGAATCTGCAAGTGGACGTTTGGAGGGCTTTGTGGTTTGTGGTGGAAAAGGAAATATCTTCACCTAAATACTAGATAGAAGCATTCTCAGAAGCTTCTCTGTGATGACTGCATTCAACTCACGGAGTTGAACACTCCTTTTGAGAGCGCAGTTTTGAAACTCTCTTTCTGTGGCATCTGCAAGGGGACATGTAGACCTCTTTGAAGAGTTCATTGGAAACGGAATCATCTTCACATAAAATCTATACAGAAGCAGTCTCAGAATCTTCTTTGTGATGTTTGCATTCAAATCCCAGAGTTGAACTTGCCTTTCAAAGTTCACGTTTGAAACACTCTTTTTGCAGGATCTACAAGTGGATATTTGGACCACTCTGTGTCCTTCGTTCGAAACGGGTATATCTTCACATGACATCTAGACAGAAGCTTTCTCAGAAAATTCTTTGGGATGATTGAGTTGAACTCACAGAGCTGAACATTCCTTGCGATGGAGCAGTTTAGAAACACACTTTCTGCAGAATCTGCAAGTGCATATTTGGACCTCTCTGAGGAATTCGTTGGAAACGGGATAATTTCAGCTGACTAAACAGAAGCATTCTCAGAACCTTCTTCGTGATGTCTGCATTCAACTCACAGTGTGGAACCTTTCTTTGATAGTTCAGGTTTGAAACACTCTTTTTGTGGAAACTGCAAGGGGATAATTGCACTTCTTTGAGGCCTACCGTAGTAATGGAAATAACTTCCTATAAAAAGAAGACAGAAGAACTCTCAGAGCCCTCTTCGTGATGTTTGCATTCAACTCACAGTGCTGAACCTTTCTTTGATAGTGCAGCTTTGAAACACTCTTTTTGTAGAAACTGCAAGTGGATATTTGGTCCTCTCTGAGGATTTCGTTGGAAACGGGATAAACCGCACAGAACTAAAACAGAAGCATTCACAGAAAACTCTTGGTGACGACTGAGTTTAACTCACAGAGCTGAACATTCCTTTGGATGGAGCAGTTTCGAAACACACTATTTGTAGAATCTGCAAGTGGATATTTGGGCCTCTCTGAGGATTTCGTTGGAAACGGGATAAAACGCACAGAACTAAAACAGAAGCATTCTCAGAAACTACTTTGTTATGATTGCAATCAAGTCACAGAGTTGAACATTCCCTTTGACAGAGCAGTTTGGAAACTCTCTTTGTGTAGAATCTGCAAGTGGAGATATGGACCGCTTTGAGGCCTATGGTAGTAAAGGAAATAGCTTCATATAAAAGCTAGACATTAGCATTCTCAGAAACTTCTTTGTGATGCTTGCATTCAACTCACAGAGTTGAACTTTCCTTTCGAGAGAGAAGCTTTGAAACACTCTTTTTCCAGAATGTGCAAGTGGACATTTGGGGAGCTTTGAGGCCTGTGGAGGGAAAGGAATTATCTTCCCGTAAAAGCTAGATAGAAGCATTGTCAGAAACTTCTTTGTGATGATTGCATTCAACTCACAGAGTTGAAGGTTCCTTTTCAAACAGCAGTTTCCAATCACTCTTTCTGTGGAATCTGCAAGTGGATATTTGGGCCTCTCTGAGGATTTCGTTGGAAACGGGATAAAACGCACAGAACTAAAACAGAAGCATTCTCAGAAACTTCTCTGTGATGTTTGTGTTCAACTCCCAGAGTTTCACGTTGCTTTTCATAGAGTAGTTCTGAAACATGCTTTTCGTAGTGTCTGCAAGTGGACATTTGGAGCGCTTTCAGGCCTGTGGTGGAAAACGAATTATGGTCACATAAAAACTGGAGAGAAGCCTTCTCAGAAACTTCTCTGTGATGATTGCATTCAACTCACAGAGTTGAACCCTCCTATGGATAGAGCAGTGTTGAAACTCTCTTTTTGTGGAATCTGCAAGTGGATATGTGGACCTCTCCGAAGATGTCTTTGGAAACGGGAATATCTTCACATAAAAACTAAACAGAAGCATTCTCAGAAACTTCTTGGTGATGTTTGCATTCAAATCCCAGAGTCGAACCTTCCTTTGATAGTTCAGGTTTGAAACACTCTTTTTGTAGGATCTGCAAGTGGATATTTGGACCACTCTGTGGCCTTCGTTCGAAACGGGTATATCTTCGCATAAAATCTAGACAGAAGCATTCTCAGAAAATACTTTGTGATGATTGAGTTTAACTCACAGAGCTGAACATTCCTTTGGATGGAGCAGGTTTGAGACACACTTTTTGTAGAATCTACAAGTGGATATTTGGACCTCTCTGAGGATTTCGTTGGAAACGGGATAACTGCACCTAACTAAACGGAAGCATTCTCAGAAACTGCTTTGTGATGATTGCATTCACCTCACAGAGTTGAACATTCCTATTGATAGAGCAGTTTGGAAACACTCTTGTTGTGGAATGTGCAAGTGGAGATTTGGAGCGCTTTGAGGCCTATGGTAGTAAAGGGAATAGCTTCATAGAAAAACTAGACAGATGCATTCTCAGGAACTTTTTGGTGATGTTTGTATTCAACTCCCAGAGTTGAACTTTCCTTTGGAAAGAGCAGCTATGAAACACTCTTTTTCTAGAATCTGCAAGTGGACGTTTGGAGGGCTTTGTGGTTTGTGGTGGAAAAGGAAATATCTTCACCTAAATACTAGATAGAAGCATTCTCAGAAGCTTCTCTGTGATGACTGCATTCAACTCACGGAGTTGAACACTCCTTTTGAGAGCGTAGTTTTGAAACTCTCTTTCTGTGGCATCTGCAAGGGGACATGTAGACCTCTTTGAAGATTTCGTTGGAAACGGAATCATCTTCACATAAAAACTATACAGAAGCAGTCTCAGAATCTTCTTTGTGATGTTTGCATTCAAATCCCAGAGTTGAACTTTCCTTTCAAAGTTCACGTTTGAAACACTCTTTTTGCAGGATCTACAAGTGGATATTTGGACCACTCTGTGTCCTCCGTTCGAAACGGGTATATCTTCACATGACATCTAGACAGAAGCTTTCTCAGAAAATTCTTTGGGATGATTGAGTGGAACTCACAGAGCTGAACATTCCTTGAGATGTAGCAGTTTAGAAACACACTTTCTGCAGAATCTGCAAGTGCATATGTGGACCTCTCTGAGGAATTCGTTGGAAACGGGATAATTTCAGCTGACTAAACAGAAGCATTCTCAGAACCTTCTTCGTGATGTCTGCATTCAACTCACAGTGTGGAACCTTTCTTTGATAGTTCAGGTTTGAAACACTCTTTTTGTAGAAACTGCAAGGGGATAATTGCACTCTTTGAGGAGTACCGTAGTAAAGGAAATAACTTCCTATAAAAAGAAGACAGAAGCATTCTCAGAACCCTCTTCGTGGTGTTTGCATTCAACTCACAGTGCTGAACCTCTCTTTGATAGTTCAGCTTTGAAACACTCTTCTTGTAGAAACTGCAAGTGGATATTTGGTCCTCTCTGAGGATTTCCTTGGAAAAGGGATAAACCGCACAGAACTAAACAGAAGCATTCTCAGAACCTTCTTCGTGATGTTTGCATTCAACTCACAGTGCTGAACCTTTCTTTGATAGTTCAGGTTTGAAACGGTCTTTCTGTAGAAACTGCAAGTAGATATTTGGACCTCTCTGAGGATTTCGTTGGAAACGGGATAAACCGCACAGAACTAAAACAGAAGCATTCACAGAAAACTCTTGGTGACGACTGAGTTTAACTCACAGAGCTGAACATTCCTTTGGATGGAGCAGTTTCGAAACACACTATTTGTAGAATGTGCAAGTGGATATTTGGACCTCTCTGAGGATTTCGTTGGAAACGGGATAAACCGCACAGAACTAAACAGAAGCATTCTCAGAAACTACTTTGTGATGATTGCATTCAAGTCACAGAGTTGAACATTCCCTTTGACAGAGCAGTTTGGAAACTCTCTTTGTGTAGAATCTGCAAGTGGAGATATGGACCGCTTTGAGGCCTATGGTAGTAAAGGAAATAGCTTCATATAAAAGCTAGACAGTAGCATTCTCAGAAACTTCTTTGTGATGCTTGCATTCAACTCACAGAGTTGAACTTTCCTTTCGAGAGAGAAGCTTTGAAACACTCTTTTTCCAGAATCTGCAAGTGGACATTTGGAGGGCTTTGAGGCCTGTGGTGGAAAAGGAATTATCTTCCCGTAAAAGCTAGATAGAAGCATTGTCAGAAACTTCTTTGTGATGATTGCATTCAACTCACAGAGTTGAAGGTTGCTTTTCCAACAGCAGTTTCCAAACACTCTTTCTGTGGAATCTGCAAGTGGATATTTGGACCTCTTTGAAGATTTCGTTGGAAAAGGGATAATCTTCACAGAAAAGGTAAACAGAAGCATTCTCAGAAACTTCTCTGTGATGTTTGTGTTCAACTCCCAGAGTGTCACATTGCTTCTCATAGAGTAGTTCTGAAACATGCTTTTCGTAGTGTCTGCAAGGGGACATTTGGAGCGCTTTCAGGCCTGTGGTGGAAAACGAATTATGGTCACATAAAAACTGGAGAGAAGCCTTCTCAGAAACTTCTCTGTGATGATTGCATTCAACTCACAGAGTTGAACTCACCTATGGATAGAGCAGTGTTGAAACTCTCTTTGTGTGGAATCTGCAAGTGGATATGTGGACCTCTCCGAAGATGTCTTTGGAAACGGGACTATCTTCACATAAAAACTAAACAGAAGCATTCTCAGAAACTTCTTGGTGATGTTTGCATTCAAATCCCAGAGTTGAACCTTCCTTTGATAGTTCAGGTTTGAAACACTCTTTTTGTAGGATCTGCAAGTGGATATTTGGACCACTCTGTGGCCTTCGTTCGAAACGGGTACATCTTCGCATAAAATCTAGACAGAAGCATTCTCAGAAAATACTTTGTGATGATTGAGTTTAACTCACAGATCTGAACATTCCTTTGGATGGAGCAGGTTTGAGACACACTTTTTGTAAAATCTACAAGTGGATATTTGGACCTCTCTGAGGATTTCGTTGGAAACGGGATAACTGCACCTAACTAAACGGAAGCATTCTCAGAAACTGCTTTGTGATGATTGCATTCACCTCACAGAGTTGAACATTCCTATTGATAGAGCAGTTTGGAAACACTCCTGTTGTGGAATGTGCAAGTGGAGATTTGGAGCGCTTTGAGGCCTATGGTAGTAAAGGGAATAACTTCATAGAAAAACTAGACAGATGCATTCTCAGGAACTTTTTGGTGATGTTTGTATTCAACTCCCAGAGTTGAACTTTCCTTTGGAAAGAGCAGCTATGAAACACTCTTTTTCTAGAATCTGCAAGTGGACGTTTGGAGGGCTTTGTGGTTTGTGGTGGAAAAGGAAATATCTTCACCTAAATACTAGATAGAAGCATTCTCAGAAGCTTCTCTGTGATTACTGCATTCAACTCATGGAGTTGAACACTCCTTTTGAGAGCGCAGTTTTGAAACTCTGTTTCTGTGGCATCTGCAAGGGGACATGTAGACCTCTTTGAAGATTTCGTTGGAAACGGAATCATCTTCACATAAAAACTATACAGAAGCAGTCTCAGAATCTTCTTTGTGATGTTTGCATTCAAATCCCAGAGTTGAACTTTCCTTTCAAAGTTCACGTTTGAAACACTCTTTTTGCAGGATCTACAAGTGGATATTTGGACCACTCTGTGTCCTTCGTTCGAAACGGGTATATCTTCACATGACATCTAGACAGAAGCTTTCTCAGAAAATTCTTTGGGATGATTGAGTTGAGCAAACAGAGCTGAACACTCCTTGCGATGTAGCAGTTTAGAAACACACTTTCTGCAGAATCTGCAAGTGCATATGTGGACCTCTCTGAGGTATTCGTTGGAAACGGGATAATTTCAGCTGACTAAACAGAAGCATTCTCAGAACCTTCTTCGTGATGTCTGCATTCAACTCACAGTGTGGAACCTTTCTTTGATAGTTCAGGTTTGAAACACTCTTTTTGTAGAAACTGCAAGGGGATCATTGCACTCTTTGAGGAGTACCGTAGTAAAGGAAATAACTTCCTATAAAAAGAAGACAGAAGAATTCTCAGAGCCCTCTTCGTGATGTTTGCATTCAACTCACAGTGCTGAACCTTTCTTTGATAGTGCAGCTTTGAAACACTCTTTTTGTAGAAACTGCAAGTGGATGTTTGGTCCTCTCTGAGGATTTCGTTGGAAACGGGATAAACCGCACAGAACTAAAACAGAAGCATTCTCAGAACCTTCTTCGTGATGTTTGCATTCAACTCACAGTGTTGAACCTTTCTTTGATAGTTCAGGTTGGAAACGGTCTTTCTGTAGAAACTGCAAGTAGATATTTGGACCTCTCTGAGGATTTCGTTGGAAACGGGATAAACCGCACAGAACTAAAACAGAAGCATTCACAGAAAACTCTTGGTGACGACTGAGTTTAACTCACAGAGCTGAACATTCCTTTGGATGGAGCAGTTTCGAAACACACTCTTTGTAGAATCTGCAAGTGGATATTTGGGCCTCTCTGAGGATTTCGTTGGAAATGGGATAAACCGCACAGAACTAAAACAGAAAGCATTCTCAGAAACTACTTTGTGATGATTGCATTCAAGTCACAGAGTTGAACATTCCCTTTGACAGAGCAGTTTGGAAACTCTCTTTGTGTAGGATCTGCAAGTGGAGATATGGACCGCTTTGAGGCCTATGGTAGTAAAGGAAATAGCTTCATATAAAAGCTAGACAGTAGCATTCTCAGAAACTTCTTTGTGATGCTTGCATTCAACTCACTGAGTTGAACTTTCCTTTCGAGAGAGAAGCTTTGAAACACTCTTTTTCCTGAATCTGCAAGTGGACATTTGGAGGGCTTTGAGGCCTGTGGTGGAAAAGGAATTATCTTCCCGTAAAAGCTAGATAGAAGCATTGTCAGAAACTTCTTTGTGATGATTGCATTCAACTCACAGAGTTGAAGGTTGCTTTTCAAACAGCAGTTTCCAAACACTCTTTCTGTGGAATCTGCAAGTGGATATTTGGACCTCTTTGAAGATTTCGTTGGAAACGGGATAATCTTCACAGAAAAGCTAAACAGAAGCATTCTCAGAAACTTCTCCGTGATGTTTGTGTTCAACTCCCAGAGTGTCACATTGCTTTTCATAGAGTAGTTCTGAAACGAGCTTTTCGCAGTGTCTGCAAGTGGACATTTGGAGCGCTTTCAGGCCTGTGGTGGAAAACGAATTATGGTCACATAAAAACTGGAGAGAAGCCTTCTCAGAAACTTCTCTGTGATGATTGCATTCAACTCACAGAGTTGAACCCTACTATGGATAGAGCAGTGTTGAAACTCTCTTTTTGTGGAATCTGCAAGTGGATATGTGGACCTCTCCGAAGATGTCTTTGGAAAGGGGACTATCTTCACATAAAAACTAAACAGAAGCATTCTCAGAAACTTCTTGGTGATGTTTGCATTCAAATCCCAGAGTTGAACCTTCCTTTGATAGTTCAGGTTTGAAACACTCTTTTTGTAGGATCTGCAAGTGGATATTTGGACCACTCTGTGGCCTTCGTTCGAAACGGGTACATCTTCGCATAAAATCTAGACAGAAGCATTCTCAGAAAATACTTTGTGATGATTGAGTTTAACTCACAGAGCTGAACATTCCTTTGGATGGAGCAGGCTTGAGACACACTTTTTGTAGAATCTACAAGTGGATATTTGGACCTCTCTGAGGATTTCGTTGGAAACGAGATAACTGCACCTAACTAAACGGAAGCATTCTCAGAAACTGCTTTGTGATGATTGCATTCACCTCACAGAGTTGAACATTCCTATTGATAGAGCAGTTTGGAAACACTCTTGTTGTGGAATGTGCAAGTGGAGATTTGGAGCGCTTTGAGGCCTATGGTAGTAAAGGGAATAGCTTCAGAGAAAAACTAGACAGATGCATTCTCAGGAACTTTTTGGTGATGTTTGTATTCAACTCCCAGAGTTGAACTTTCCTTTGGAAAGAGCAGCTATGAAACACTCTTTTTCTAGAATCTGCAAGTGGACGTTTGGAGGGGTTTGTGGTTTGTGGTGGAAAAGGAAATATCTTCACCTAAATACTAGATAGAAGCATTCTCAGAAGCTTCTCTGTGATGACTGCATTCAACTCACGGAGTTGAACACTCCTTTTGAGAGCGCAGTTTTGAAACTCTCTTTCTGTGGCATCCGCAAGGGGACATGTGGACCTCTTTGAAGATTTCGTTGGAAACGGAATCATCTTCACATAAAAACTATACAGAAGCAGTCTCAGAATCTTCTTTGTGATGTTTGCATTCAAATCCCAGAGTTGAACTTGCCTTTCAAAGTTCACGTTTGAAACACTCTTTTTGCAGGATCTACAAGTGGATATTTGGACCACTCTGTGTCCTTCGTTCGAAACGGGTATATCTTCACATGACATCTAGACAGAAGCTTTCTCAGAAAATTCTTTGGGATGATTGAGTTGAACTCACAGAGCTGAGCATTTCCTTGCGATGTAGCAGTTTAGAAACACACTTTCTGCAGAATCTGCAAGTGCATATTTGGACCTCTGTGAGGAATTCGTTGGAAACGGGATAATTTCAGCTGACTAAACAGAAGCATTCTCAGAACCTTCTTCGTGATGTCTGCATTCAACTCACAGTGTGGAACCTTTCTTTGATAGTTCAGGTTTGAAACACTCTTTCTGTAGAAACTGCAAGGGGATAATTGCACTCTTTGAGGAGTACCGTAGTAAAGGAAATAACTTCCTATAAAAAGAAGACAGAAGAATTCTCAGAGCCCTCTTCGTGATGTTTGCATTCAACTCACAGTGCTGAACCTTTCTTTGATAGTGCAGCTTTGAAACACTCTTTTTGTAGAAACTGCAAGTGGATGTTTGGTCCTCTCTGAGGATTTCGTTGGAAACGGGATAAACCGCACAGAACTAAAACAGAAGCATTCTCAGAACCTTCTTCGTGATGTTTGCATTCAACTCACAGTGTTGAACCTTTCTTTGATAGTTCAGGTTTCAAACGGTCTTTCTGTAGAAACTGCAACTAGATATTTGGACCTCTCTGAGGATTTCGTTGGAAACGGGATAACCCGCACAGAACTAAAACAGAAGCATTCACAGAAAACTCTTGGTGACGACTGAGTTTAACTCACAGAGCTGAATATTCCCTTGGATGGAGCAGTTTCGAAACACACTCTTTGTAGAATCTGCAGGTGGATATTTGGGCCTCTCTGAGGATTTCGTTGGAAACGGGATATACTGCAGAGAACTAAAACAGAAGCATTCTCAGAAACTACTTTGTGATGATTGCATTCAAGTCACAGAGCTGAACATTCCCTTTGACGGAGCAGTTTGGAAACTCTCTTTGTGTAGAATCTGCAAGTGGAGATATGGAATGCTTTGAGGACTATGGTAGTAAAGGGAATAGCTTCATATAAACGCTAGACAGTAGCATTCTCAGAAACTTCTTTGTGATGCTTGCATTCAACTCACAGAGTTGAACATTCCTTTCGAGAGAGAAGCTTTGAAACACTCTTTTTCCAGAATCTGCAAGTGGACATTTGGAGGGCTTTGAGGCCTGTGGTGGAAAAGGAATTATCTTCCCGTAAAAGCTAGATAGAAGCATTGTCAGAAACTTCTTTGTGATGATTGCATTCAACTCACAGAGTTGAAGGTTCCTTTTCAAACAGCAGTTTCCAATCACTCTTTCTGTGGAATCTGCAAGTGGATATTTCGACCTCTTTGAAGATTTCGTTGGAAACGGGAGAATCTTCACAGAAAAGCTCAACAGAAGCATTCTCAGAAACTTCTCTGTGATGTTTGTGTTCAACTCCCAGAGTTTCACATTGCTTTTCATAGAGTAGTTCTGAAACATGCTTTTCGTAGTGTCTACAAGTGGACATTTGGAGCGCTTTCAGGCCTGTGGTGGAAAACGAATTATGGTCACATAAAAACTGGAGAGAAGCCTTCTCAGAAACTTCTCTGTGATGATTGCATTCAACTCACAGAGTTGAACCCTCCTATGGATAGAGCAGTGTTGAAACTCTCTTTTTGTGGAACCTGCAAGTGGATATGTGGACCTCTCCGAAGATGTCTTTGGAAACGGGAATATCTTCACATAAAAACTAAACAGAAGGATTCTCAGAAACTTCTTGGTGATGTTTGCATTCAAATCCCAGAGTTGAACCTTCCTTTGATAGTTCAGGTTTGAAACACTCTTTTTGTAGGATCTGCAAGTGGCTATTTGGACCACTCTGTGGCATTCGTTCAAAACGGGTATATCTTCGCATAAAATCTAGACAGAAGCATTCTCAGAAAATACTTTGTGATGATTGAGTTGAACTCACAGAGCTGAACATTCCTTTGGATGGAGCAGGTTTGAGACACACTTTTTGTAGAATCTACAAGTGGATATTTGGACCTCTCTGAGGATTTCGTTGGAAACGGGATAACTGCACCTAACTAAACGGAAGCATTCTCAGAAACTGCTTTGTGATGATTGCATTCACCTCACAGAGTTGAACATTCCTATTGATAGAGCAGTTTGGAAACACTCTTGTTGCGGAATGTGCAAGTGGAGATTTGGAGCGCTTTGAGGCCTGTGGTAGTAAAGGGAATAGCTTCATAGAAAAACTAGACAGATGCATTCTCAGGAACTTTTTGGTGATGTTTGTATTCAACTCCCAGAGTTGAACTTTCCTTTGGAAAGAGCAGCTATGAAACACTCTTTTTCTAGAATCTGCAAGTGGACGTTTGGAGGGCTTTGTGGTTTGTGGTGGAAAAGGAAATATCTTCACCTAAATACTAGATAGAAGCATTCTCAGAAGCTTCTCTGTGATGACTGCATTCAACTCACGGAGTTGAACACTCCTTTTGAGAGCGCAGTTTTGAAACTCTCTTTCTGTGGCATCTGCAAGGGGACATGTAGACCTCTTTGAAGATTTCGTTGGAAACGGAATCATCTTCACATAAAAACTATACAGAAGCAGTCTCAGAATCTTCTTTGTGATGTTTGCATTCAAATCCCAGAGTTGAACTTTCCTTTCAAAGTTCACGTTTGAAACACTCTTTTTGCAGGATCTACAAGTGGATATTTGGACCACTCTGTGTCCTTCGTTCGAAACGGGTATATCTTCACACGACATCTAGACAGAAGCTTTCTCAGAAAATTCTTTGGGATGATTGAGTTGAACTCACAGAGCTGAGCATTCCTTGCGATGTAGCAGTTTAGAAACACACTTTCTGCAGAATCTGCAAGTGCATATTTGGACCTCTGTGAGGAATTCGTTGGAAACGGGATAATTTCAGCTGACTAAACAGAAGCATTCTCAGAACCTTCTTCGTGATGTCTGCATTCAACTCACAGTGTGGAACCTTTCTTTGATAGTTCAGGTTTGAAACACTCTTTTTGTAGAAACTGCAAGGGGATAATTGCACTTCTTTGAGGCCTACCGTAGCAAAAGAAATAACTTCCTATAAAAAGAAGACAGAAGCATTCTCAGAACCCTCTTCGTGATGTTTGCATTCAACTCACAGTGCTGAACCTTTCTTTGATAGTTCAGCTTTGAAACACTCTTCTTGTAGAAACTGCAAGTGGATATTTGGTCCTCTCTGAGGATTTCGTTGGAAACGGGATAAACCGCACAGAACTAAACAGAAGCATTCTCAGAACCTTCTTCGTGATGTTTGCATTCAACTCACAGTGTTGAACCTTTCTTTGATAGTTCAGGTTTGAAACGGTCTTTCTGTAGAAACTGCAAGTAGATATTTGGACCTCTCTGAGGATTTCGTTGGAAACGGGATAACCCGCACAGAACTAAAACAGAAGCATTCACAGAAAACTCTTGGTGACGACTGAGTTTAACTCACAGAGCTGAACATTCCTTTGGATGGAGCAGTTTCGAAACACACTATTTGTAGAATGTGCAAGTGGATATTTGGGCCTCTCTGAGGATTTCGTTGGAAACGGGATAAACCGCACAGAACTAAACAGAAGCATTCTCAGAAACTACTTTGTGATGATTGCATTCAAGTCACAGAGTTGAACATTCCCTTTGACAGAGCAGTTTGGAAACTCTCTTTGTGTAGAATCTGCAAGTGGAGATATGGACCGCTTTGAGGCCTATGGTAGTAAAGGAAATAGCTTCATATAAAAGCTAGACAGTAGCATTCTCAGAAACTTCTTTGTGATGCTTGCATTCAACTCACAGAGTTGAACTTTCCTTTCGAGAGAGAAGCTTTGAAACACTCTTTTTCCAGAATCTGCAAGTGGACATTTGGAGGGCTTTGAGGCCTGTGGTGGAAAAGGAATTATCTTCCCGTAAAAGCTAGATAGAAGCATTGTCAGAAACTTCTTTGTGATGATTGCATTCAACTCACAGAGTTGAAGGTTCCTTTTCAAACAGCAGTTTCCAATCACTCTTTCTGTGGAATCTGCAAGTGGATATTTGGGCCTCTCTGAGGATTTCGTTGGAAACGGGATAAAACGCACAGAACTAAAACAGAAGCATTCTCAGAAACTTCTCTGTGATGTTTGTGTTCAACTCCCAGAGTTTCACGTTGCTTTTCATAGAGTAGTTCTGAAACATGCTTTTCGTAGTGTCTGCAAGTGGACATTTGGAGCGCTTTCAGGCCTGTGGTGGAAAACGAATTATGGTCACATAAAAACTGGAGAGAAGCCTTCTCAGAAACTTCTCTGTGATGATTGCATTCAACTCACAGAGTTGAACCCTCCTATGGATAGAGCAGTGTTGAAACTCTCTTTTTGTGGAATCTGCAAGTGGATATGTGGACCTCTCCGAAGATGTCTTTGGAAACGGGAATATCTTCACATAAAAACTAAACAGAAGCATTCTCAGAAACTTCTTGGTGATGTTTGCATTCAAATCCCAGAGTTGAACCTTCCTTTGATAGTTCAGGTTTGAAACACTCTTTCTGTAGGATCTGCAAGTGGCTATTTGGACCACTCTGTGGCCTTCGTTCGAAACGGGTATATCTTCGCATAAAATCTAGACAGAAGCATTCTCAGAAAATACTTTGTGATGATTGAGTTTAAATCACAGAGCTGACCATTCCTTTGGATGGAGCAGGTTTGAGACACACTTTTTGTAGAATCTACAAGTGGATATTTGGACCTCTCTGAGGATTTCGTTGGAAACGGGATAACTGCACCTAACTAAACGGAAGCATTCTCAGAAACTGCTTTGTGATGATTGCATTCACCTCACAGAGTTGAACATTCCTATTGATAGAGCAGTTTGGAAACACTCTTGTTGTGGAATGTGCAAGTGGAGATTTGGAGCGCTTTGAGGCCTATGGTAGTAAAGGGAATAGCTTCATAGAAAAACTAGACAGATGCATTCTCAGGAACTTTTTGGTGATGTTTGTATTCAACTCCCAGAGTTGAACTTTCCTTTGGAAAGAGCAGCTATGAAACACTCTTTTTCTAGAATCTGCAAGTGGACGTTTGGAGGGCTTTGTGGTTTGTGGTGGAAAAGGAAATATCTTCACCTAAATACTAGATAGAAGCATCCTCAGAAGCTTCTCTGTGATGACTGCATTCAACTCACGGAGTTGAACACTCCTTTTGAGAGCGCAGTTTTGAAACTCTCTTTCTGTGGCATCTGCAAGGGGACATGTAGACCTCTTTGAAGATTTCGTTGGAAACGGAATCATCTTCACATAAAAACTATACAGAAGCAGTCTCAGAATCTTCTTTGTGATGTTTGCATTCAAATCCCAGAGTTGAACTTTCCTTTCAAAGTTCACGTTTGAAACACTCTTTTTGCAGGATCTACAAGTGGATATTTGGACCACTCTGTGTCCTTCGTTCGAAACGGGTATATCTTCACATGACATCTAGACAGAAGCTTTCTCAGAAAATTCTTTGGCATGATTGAGTTGAACTCACAGAGCTGAACATTCCTTGCGATGGAGCAGTTTAGAAACACACTTTCTGCAGAATCTGCAAGTGCATATTTGGACCTCTCTGAGGAATTCATTGGAAACGCGATAATTTCAGCTGACTAAACAGAAGCATTCTCAGAACCTTCTTCGTGATGTCTGCATTCAACTCACAGTGTGGAACCTTTCTTTGATAGTTCAGGTTTGAAACACTCTTTTTGTAGAAACTGCAAGGGGATAATTGCACTTCTTTGAGGCCTACCGTAGTAAAGGAAATAACTTCCTATAGAAAGAAGACAGAAGCATTCCCAGAACCCTCTTCGTGATGTTTGCATTCAACTCACGGTGCTGAACCTTTCTTTGATAGTTCAGCTTTGAAACACTCTTTTTGTAGAAACTGCAAGTGGATATTTGGTCCTCTCTGAGGATTTCGTTGGAAAAGGGATAAACCGCACAGAACTAAACAGAAGCTTTCTCAGAACCTTCTTCGTGATGTTTGCATTCAACTCACAGTGTTGAACCTTTCTTTGATAGTTCAGGTTTGAAACGGTCTTTCTGTAGAAACTGCAAGTAGATATTTGGACCTCTCTGAGGATTTCGTTGGAAACGGGATAAACCGCACAGAACTAAAACAGAAGCATTCACAGAAAACACTTGGTGACGACTGAGTTTAACTCACAGAGCTGAACATTCCTTTGGAGGGAGCAGTTTTGAAACACACTATTTGTAGAATCTGCAAGTGGATATTTGGGCCTCTCTGAGGATTTCGATGGAAACGGGATAAACCGCACAGATATAAAACAGAAGCATTCTCAGAAACTACTTTGTGATGATTGCATTCAAGTCACAGAGCAGAACATTCCCTTTGACAGAGCAGTTTGGAAACTCTCTTTGTGTAGCATCTGCAAGTGGAGATATGGAATGCTTTGAGGACTATGGTAGTAAAGGAAATAGCTTCATATAAAAGCTAGACAGTAGCATTCTCAGCAAACTTCTTTGTGATGCTTGCATTCAACTCACAGAGTTGAACTTTCCTTTCGAGAGAGAAGCTTTGAAACACTCTTTTTCCAGAATCTGCAAGTGGACATTTGGAGGGCTTTGAGGCCTGTGGTGGAAAAGGAATTATCTTCCCGTAAAAGCTAGATAGAAGCATTGTCAGAAACTTCTTTGTGATGATTGCATTCAACTCACAGAGTTGAAGGTTCCTTTTCAAACAGCAGTTTCCAATCACTCTTTCTGTGGAATCTGCAAGTGGATATTTCGACCTCTTTGAAGATTTCGTTGGAAACGGGAGAATCTTCACAGAAAAGCTAAACAGAAGCATTCTCAGAAACTTCTCTGTGATGTTTGTGTTCAACTCCCAGAGTTTCACATTGCTTTTCATAGAGTAGTTCTGAAACATGCTTTTCGTAGTGTCTGCAAGTGGACATTTGGAGCGCTTTCAGGCCTGTGGTGGAAAACGAATTATGGTCACATAAAAACTGGAGAGAAGCCTTCTCAGAAACTTCTCTGTGATGATTGCATTCAACTCACAGAGTTGAACCCTCCTATGGATAGAGCAGTGTTGAAACTCTCTTTTTGTGGAATCTGCAAGTGGATATGTGGACCTCTCCGAAGATTTCTTTGGAAACGGGACTATCTTCACATAAAAACTAAACAGAAGCATTCTCAGAAACTTCTTGGTGATGTTTGCATTCAAATCCCAGAGTTGAACCTTCCTTTGATAGTTCAGGTTTGAAACACTCTTTTTGTAGGATCTGCAAGTGGCTATTTGGACCACTCTGTGGCCTTCGTTCGAAACGGATATATCTTCGCATAAAATCTAGACAGAAGCATTCTCAGAAAATACTTTGTGATGATTGAGTTGAACTCACAGAGCTGAACATTCCTTTGGATGGAGCAGGTTTGAGACACACTTTTTGTAGAATCTACAAGTGGATATTTGGGCCTCTCTGAGGATTTCGTTGGAAACGGGATAACTGCACCTAACTAAACGGAAGCATTCTCAGAAACTGCTTTGTGATGATTGCATTCACCTCACAGAGTTGAACATTCCTATTGATAGAGCAGTTTGGAAACACTCTTCTTGTGGAATGTGCAAGTGGAGATTTGGAGCGCTTTGAGGCCTATGGTAGTAAAGGGAATAGCTTCATAGAAAAACTAGACAGATGCATTCTCAGGAACTTTTTGGTGATGTTTGTATTCAACTCCCAGAGTTGAACTTTCCTTTGGAAAGAGCAGCTATGAAACACTCTTTTTCTAGAATCTGCAAGTGGACGTTTGGAGGGCTTTGTGGTTTGTGGTGGAAAAGGAAATATCTTCACCTAAATACTAGATAGAAGCATCCTCAGAAGCTTCTCTGTGATGACTGCATTCAACTCACGGAGTTGAACACTCCTTTTGAGAGCGCAGTTTTGAAACTCTCTTTCTGTGGCATCTGCAAGGGGACATGTAGACCTCTTTGAAGATTTCGTTGGAAACGGAATCATCTTCACATAAAAACTATACAGAAGCAGTCTCAGAATCTTCTTTGTGATGTTTGCATTCAAATCCCAGAGTTGAACTTTCCTTTCAAAGTTCACGTTTGAAACACTCTTTTTGCAGGATCTACAAGTGGATATTTGGACCACTCTGTGTCCTTCGTTCGAAACGGGTATATCTTCACATGACATCTAGACAGAAGCTTTCTCAGAAAATTCTTTGCGATGATTGAGTTGAACTCACAGAGCTGAGCATTCCTTGCGATGTAGCAGTTTAGAAACACACTTTCTGCAGAATCTGCAAGTGCATATTTGGACCTCTGTGAGGAATTCGTTGGAAACGGGATAATTTCAGCTGACTAAACAGAAGCATTCTCAGAACCTTCTTCGTGATGTCTGCATTCAACTCACAGTGTGGAACCTTTCTTTGATAGTTCAGGTTTGAAACACTCTTTCTGTAGAAACTGCAAGGGGATAATTGCACTCTTTGAGGAGTACCGTAGTAAAGGAAATAACTTCCTATAAAAAGAAGACAGAAGCATTCTCAGAACCCTCTTCGTGATGTTTGCATTCAACTCACAGTGCTGAACCTTTCTTTGATAGTTCAGCTTTGAAACACTCTTTTTGTAGAAACTGCAAGTGGATATTTGGTCCTCTCTGAGGATTTCGTTGGAAACGGGATAAACTGCACAGAACTAAACAGAAGCATTCTCAGAACCTTCTTCGTGATGTTTGCATTCAACTCACAGTGTTGAACCTTTCTTTGATAGTTCAGGTTTGAAACGGTCTTTCTGCAGAAACTGCAAGTAGATATTTGGACCTCTCTGAGGATTTCGTTGGAAACGGGATACCCCGCACAGAACTAAAACAGAAGCATTCACAGAAAACTCTTGGTGACGACTGAGTTTAACTCACAGAGCTGAACACTCCTTTGGAGGGAGCAGTTTCGAAACACACTATTTATAGAATGTGCAAGTGGATATTTGGGCCTCTCTGAGGATTTCGTTGGAAACGGGATAAATGGCAAAGAAATAAACAGAAGCATTCTCAGAAACTACTTTGTGATGATTGCATTCAAGTCACAGAGTTGAACATTCCCTTTGACAGAGCAGTTTGGAAACTCTCTTTGTGTAGAATCTGCAAGTGGAGATATGGACCGCTTTGAGGCCTATGGTAGTAAAGGAAATAGCTTCATATAAAAGCTAGACAGTAGCATTCTCAGAAACTTCTTTGTGATGCTTGCATTCAACTCACAGAGTTGAACTTTCCTTTCGAGAGAGAAGCTTTGAAACACTCTTTTTCCAGAATCTGCAAGTGGACATTTGGAGGGCTTTGAGGCCTGTGGTGGAAAAGGAATTATCTTCCCGTAAAAGCTAGATAGAAGCATTGTCAGAAACTTCTTTGTGATGATTGCATTCAACTCACAGAGATGAAGGTTCCTTTACAAACAGCAGTTTCCAAACACTCTTTCTGTGGAATCTGCAAGTGGATATTTGGACCTCTTTGAAGATTTCGTTGGAAACGGGAGAATCTTCACAGAAAAGCTAAACAGAAGCATTCTCAGAAACTTCTCTGTGATGTTTGTGTTCAACTCCCAGAGTTTCACGTTGCTTTTCATAGAGTAGTTCTGAAACATGCTTTTCGTAGTGTCTGCAAGTGGACATTTGGAGCGCTTTCAGGCCTGTGGTGCAAAACGAATTATGGTCCCATAAAAACTGGAGAGAAGCCTTCTCAGAAACTTCTCTGTGATGATTGCATTCAACTCACAGATTTGAACCCTCCTATGGATAGAGCATTGTTGAAACTCTCTTTTTGTGGAATCTGCAAGTGGATATGTGGACCTCTCCGAAGATGTCTTTGGAAACGGGAATATCTTCACATAAAAACTAAACAGAAGCATTCTCAGAAACTTCTTGGTGATGTTTGCATTCAAATCCCAGAGTTGAACCTTCCTTTGATAGTTCAGGTTTGAAACACTCTTTTTGTAGGATCTGCAAGTGGATATTTGGACCACTCTGTGGCCTTCGTTCGAAACGGGTATATCTTCGCATAAAATCTAGACAGAAGCATTCTCAGAAAATACTTTGTGATGATTGAGTTTAAATCACAGAGCTGACCATTCCTTTGGATGGAGCAGGTTTGAGACACACTTTTTGTAGAATCTACAAGTGGATATTTGGACCTCTCTGAGGATTTCGTTGGAAACGGGATAACTGCACCTAACTAAACGGAAGCATTCTCAGAAACTGCTTTGTGATGATTGCATTCACCTCACAGAGTTGAACATTCCTATTGATAGAGCAGTTTGGAAACACTCTTGTTGTGGAATGTGCAAGTGGAGATTTGGAGCGCTTTGAGGCCTGTGGTAGTAAAGGGAATAGCTTCATAGAAAAACTAGACAGATGCATTCTCAGGAACCTTTTGGTGATGTTTGTATTCAACTCCCAGAGTTGAACTTTCCTTTGGAAAGAGCAGCTATGAAACACTCTTTTTCTAGAATCTGCAAGTGGACGTTTGGAGGGCTTTGTGGTTTGTGGTGGAAAAGGAAATATCTTCACCTAAATACTAGATAGAAGCATTCTCAGAAGCTTCTCTGTGATGACTGCATTCAACTCACGGAGTTGAACACTCCTTTTGAGAGCGCAGTTTTGAAACTCTCTTTCTGTGGCATCTGCAAGGGGACATGTAGACCTCTTTGAAGATTTCGTTGGAAACGGAATCATCTTCACATAAAAACTATACAGAAGCAGTCTCAGAATCTTCTTTGTGATGTTTGCATTCAAATCCCAGAGTTGAACTTTCCTTTCAAAGTTCACGTTTGAAACACTCTTTTTGCAGGATCTACAAGTGGATATTTGGACCACTCTGTGTCCTTCGTTCGAAACGGGTATATCTTCACACGACATCTAGACAGAAGCTTTCTCAGAAAATTCTTTGGGATGATTGAGTTGAACTCACAGAGCTGAACATTCCTTGCAATGTAGCAGTTTAGGAACACACTTTCTGCAGAATCTGCAAGTGCATATGTGGACCTCTCTGAGGAATTCGTTGGAAACGGGATAATTTCAGCTGACTAAACAGAAGCATTCTCAGAACCTTCTTCGTGATGTCTGCATTCAACTCACAGTGTGGAACCTTTCTTTGATAGTTCAGGTTTGAAACACTCTTTTTGTAGAAACTGCAAGGAGATAATTGCACTTCTTTGAGGCCTAACGTAGTAAAGGAAATAACTTCCTATAAAAAGAAGACAGAAGCATTCTCAGAACCCTCTTCGTGATGTTTGCATTCAACCCACGGTGCTGAACCTTTCTTTGATAGTTCAGCTTTGAAACACTCTTTTTGTAGAAACTGCAAGTGGATATTTGGTCCTCTCTGAGGATTTCGTTGGAAAAGGGATAAACCGCACAGAACTAAACAGAAGCATTCTCAGAACCTTCTTCGTGATGTTTGCATTCAACTCACAGTGTTGAACCTTTCTTTGATAGTTCAGGTTTGAAACGGTCTTTCTGTAGAAACTGCAAGTAGATATTTGGACCTCTCTGAGGATTTCGTTTGAAACGGGATAAACCGCACAGAACTAAAACAGAAGCATTCACAGAAAACTCTTGGTGACGACTGAGTTTAACTCACAGAGCTGAACATTCCTTTGGATGGAGCAGTTTCGAAACACACTATTTGTAGAATGTGCAAGTGGATATGTGGGCCTCTCTGAGGATTTCGTTGGAAACGGGATAAACCGCACAGAACTAAACAGAAGCATTCTCAGAAACTACTTTGTGATGATTGCATTCAAGTCACAGAGTTGAACATTCCCTTTGACAGAGCAGTTTGGAAACTCTCTTTGTGTAGAATCTGCAAGTGGAGATATGGACCGCTTTGAGGCCTATGGTAGTAAAGGAAATAGCTTCATATAAAAGCTAGACAGTAGCATTCTCAGAAACTTCTTTGTGATGCTTGCATTCAACTCACAGAGTTGAACTTTCCTTTCGAGAGAGAAGCTTTGAAACACTCTTTTTCCAGAATCTGCAAGTGGACATTTGGAGGGCTTTGAGGCCTGTGGTGGAAAAGGAATTAACTTCCCGTAAAAGCTAGATAGAAGCATTGTCAGAAACTTCTTTGTGATGATTGCATTCAACTCACAGAGTTGAAGGTTCCTTTTCAAACAGCAGTTTCCAATCACTCTTTCTGTGGAATCTGCAAGTGGATATTTGGGCCTCTCTGAGGATTTCGTTGGAAACGGGATAAAACGCACAGAACTAAAACAGAAGCATTCTCAGAAACTTCTCTGTGATGTTTGTGTTCAACTCCCAGAGTTTCACGTTGCTTTTCATAGAGTAGTTCTGAAACATGCTTTTCGTAGTGTCTGCAAGTGGACATTTGGAGCGCTTTCAGGCCTGTGGTGGAAAACGAATTATGGTCACATAAAAACTGGAGAGAAGCCTTCTCAGAAACTTCTCTGTGATGATTGCATTCAACTCACAGAGTTGAACCCTCCTATGGATAGAGCAGTGTTGAAACTCTCTTTTTGTGGAATCTGCAAGTGGATATGTGGACCTCTCCGAAGATGTCTTTGGAAACGGGAATATCTTCACATAAAAACTAAACAGAAGCATTCTCAGAAACTTCTTGGTGATGTTTGCATTCAAATCCCAGAGTTGAACCTTCCTTTGATAGTTCAGGTTTGAAACACTCTTTTTGTAGGATCTGCAAGTGGATATTTGGACCACTCTGTGGCCTTCGTTCGAAACGGGTATATCTTCGCATAAAATCTAGACAGAAGCATTCTCAGAAAATACTTTGTGATGATTGAGTTTAAATCACAGAGCTGAACATTCCTTTGGATGGAGCAGGTTTGAGACACACTTTTTGTAGAATCTACAAGTGGATATTTGGACCTCTCTGAGGATTTCGTTGGAAACGGGATAACTGCACCTAACTAAACGGAAGCATTCTCAGAAACTGCTTTGTGATGATTGCATTCACCTCACAGAGTTGAACATTCCTATTGATAGAGCAGTTTGGAAACACTCTTGTTGTGGAATGTGCAAGTGGAGATTTGGAGCGCTTTGAGGCCTATGGTAGTAAAGGGAATAGCTTCATAGAAAAACTAGACAGATGCATTCTCAGGAACTTTTTGGTGATGTTTGTATTCAACTCCCAGAGTTGAACTTTCCTTTGGAAAGAGCAGCTATGAAACACTCTTTTTCTAGAATCTGCAAGTGGACGTTTGGAGGGCTTTGTGGTTTGTGGTGGAAAAGGAAATATCTTCACCTAAATACTAGATAGAAGCATTCTCAGAAGCTTCTCTGTGATGACTGCATTCAACTCACGGAGTTGAACACTCCTTTTGAGAGCGTAGTTTTGAAACTCTCTTTCTGTGGCATCTGCAAGGGGACATGTAGACCTCTTTGAAGATTTCGTTGGAAACGGAATCATCTTCACATAAAAACTATACAGAAGCAGTCTCAGAATCTTCTTTGTGATGTTTGCATTCAAATCCCAGAGTTGAACTTTCCTTTCAAAGTTCACGTTTGAAACACTCTTTTTGCAGGATCTACAAGTGGATATTTGGACCACTCTGTGTCCTTCGTTCGAAACGGGTATATCTTCACACGACATCTAGACAGAAGCTTTCTCAGAAAATTCTTTGGGATGATTGAGTGGAACTCACAGAGCTGAACATTCCTTGTGATGTAGCAGTTTAGAAACACACTTTCTGCAGAATCTGCAAGTGCATATTTGGACCTCTCTGAGGAATTCGTTGGAAACGGGATAATTTCAGCTGACTAAACAGAAGCATTCTCAGAACCTTCTTCGTGATGTCTGCATTCAACTCACAGTGTGGAACCTTTCTTTGATAGTTCAGGTTTGAAACACTCTTTTTGTAGAAACTGCAAGGGGATAATTGCACTTCTTTGAGGCCTACCGTAGTAAAGGAAATAACTTCCTATAGAAAGAAGACAGAAGCATTCTCAGAACCCTCTTCGTGATGTTTGCATTCAACTCACAGTGCTGAACCTTTCTTTGATAGTTCAGCTTTGAAACACTCTTCTTGTAGAAACTGCAAGTGGATATTTGGTCCTCTCTGAGGATTTCGTTGGAAACGGGATAAACCGCACAGAACTAAACAGAAGCATTCTCAGAACCTTCTTCGTGATGTTTGCATTCAACTCACAGTGTTGAACCTTTCTTTGATAGTTCAGGTTTGAAACGGTCTTTCTGTAGAAACTGCAAGTAGATATTTGGACCTTTCTGAGGATTTCGTTGGAAACGGGATAAACCGCACACAACTAAAACAGAAGCATTCACAGAAAACTCTTGGTGACGACTGAGTTTAACTCACAGAGCTGAACATTCCTTTGGATGGAGCAGTTTCGAAACACACTATTTCTAGAAGGTGCAAGTGGATATGTGGGCCTCTCTGAGGATTTCGTTGGAAACGGGATAAACCGCACAGAACTAAACAGAAGTATTCTCAGAAACTACTTTGTGATGATTGCATTCAAGTCACAGAGTTGAACATTCCCTTTGACAGAGCAGTTTGGAAACTCTCTTTGTGTAGAATCTGCAAGTGGAGATATGGACCGCTTTGAGGCCTATGGTAGTAAAGGAAATAGCTTCATATAAAAGCTAGACAGTAGCATTCTCAGAAACTTCTTTGTGATGCTTGCATTCAACTCACAGAGTTGAACTTTCCTTTCGAGAGAGAAGCTTTGAAACAGTCTTTTTCCAGAATCTGCAAGTGGACATTTGGAGGGCTTTGAGGCCTGTGGTGGAAAAGGAATTATCTTCCCGTAAAAGCCTAGATAGAAGCATTGTCAGAAACTTCTTTGTGATGATTGCATTCAACTCACAGAGTTGAAGGTTCCTTTTCAAACAGCAGTTTCCAATCACTCTTTCTGTGGAATCTGCAAGTGGATATTTGGGCCTCTCTGAGGATTTCGTTGGAAACGGGATAAAACGCACAGAACTAAAACAGAAGCATTCTCAGAAACTTCTCTGTGATGTTTGAGTTCAACTCCCAGAGTGTCACATTGCTTCTCATAGAGTAGTTCTGAAACATGCTTTTCGTAGTGTCTGCAAGGGGACATTTGGAGCGCTTTCAGGCCTGTGGTGGAAAACGAATTATGGTCACATAAAAACTGGAGAGAAGCCTTCTCAGAAACTTCTCTGTGATGATTGCATTCAACTCACAGAGTTGAACCCTCCTATGGATAGAGCAGTGTTGAAACTCTCTTTTTGTGGAATCTGCAAGTGGATATGTGGACCTCTCCGAAGATGTCTTTGGAAACGGGACTATCTTCACATAAAAACTAAACAGAAGCATTCTCAGAAACTTCTTGGTGATGTTTGCATTCAAATCCCAGAGTTGAACCTTCCTTTGATAGTTCAGGTTTGAAACACTCTTTTTGTAGGATCTGCAAGTGGATATTTGGACCACTCTGTGGCCTTCGTTCGAAACGGGTACATCTTCACATAAAATCTAGACAGAAGCATTCTCAGAAAATACTTTGTGATGATTGAGTTTAACTCACAGAGCTGAACATTCCTTTGGATGGAGCAGGTTTGAGACACACTTTTTGTAGAATCTACAAGTGGATATTTCGACCTCTCTGAGGATTTCGTTGGAAACGGGATAACTGCACCTAACTAAGCGGAAGCATTCTCAGAAACTGCTTTGTGATGATTGCATTCACCTCACAGAGTTGAACATTCCTATTGATAGAGCAGTTTGGAAACACTCTTGTTGTGGAATGTGCAAGTGGAGATTTGGAGCGCTTTGAGGCCTATGGTAGTAAAGGGAATAGCTTCATAGAAAAACTAGACAGATGCATTCTCAGGAACTTTTTGGTGATGTTTGTATTCAACTCCCAGAGTTGAACTTTCCTTTGGAAAGAGCAGCTATGAGACACTGTTTCTCTAGAATCTGCAAGTGGACGTTTGGAGGGCTTTGTGGTTTGTGGTGGAAAAGGAAATATCTTCACCTAAATACTAGATAGAAGCATTCTCAGAAGCTTCTCTGTGATGACTGCATTCAACTCACGGAGTTGAACACTCCTTTTGAGAGCGTAGTTTTGAAACTCTCTTTCTGTGGCATCTGCAAGGGGACATGTAGACCTCTTTGAAGATTTCGTTGGAAACGGAATCATCTTCACATAAAAACTATACAGAAGCAGTCTCAGAATCTTCTTTGTGATGTTTGCATTCAAATCCCCGAGTTGAACTTTCCTTTCAAAGTTCACGTTTGAAACACTCTTTTTGCAGGATCTACAAGTGGATATTTGGACCACTCTGTGTCCTTCGTTCGAAACGGTTATATCTTCACATGACATCTAGACAGAAGCTTTCTCAGAAAATTCTTTGGGATGATTGAGTTGAACTCACAGAGCTGAGCATTCCTTGCGATGTAGCAGTTTAGAAACACACTTTCTGCAGAATCTGCAAGTGCATATTTGGACCTCTGTGAGGAATTCGTTGGAAACGGGATAATTTCAGCTGACTAAACAGAAGCATTCTCAGAACCTTCTTCGTGATGTCTGCATTCAACTCACAGTGTGGAACCTTTCTTTGATAGTTCAGGTTTGAAACACTCTTTTTGTAGAAACTGCAAGGGGATAATTGCACTTCTTTGAGGCCTACCGTAGTAAAGGAAATAACTTCCTATAGAAAGAAGACAGAAGCATTCTCAGAACCCTCTTCGTGATGTTTGCATTCAACTCACAGTGCTGAACCTTTCTTTGATAGTTCAGCTTTGAAACACTCTTCTTGTAGAAACTGCAAGTGGATATTTGGTCCTCTCTGAGGATTTCGTTGGAAACGGGATAAACCGCACAGAACTAAACAGAAGCATTCTCAGAACCTTCTTCGTGATGTTTGCATTCAACTCACAGTGTTGAACCTTTCTTTGATAGTTCAGGTTTGAAACGGTCTTTCTGTAGAAACTGCAAGTAGATATTTGGACCTCTCTGAGGATTTCGTTGGAAACGGGATAACCCGCACAGAACTAAAACAGAAGCATTCACAGAAAACTCTTGGTGACGACTGAGTTTAACTCACAGAGCTGAACATTCCTTTGGATGGAGCAGTTTCGAAACACACTATTTGTAGAATGTGCAAGTGGATATTTGGGCCTCTCTGAGGATTTCGTTGGAAACGGGATAAACCGCACAGAACTAAACAGAAGCATTCTCAGAAACTACTTTGTGATGATTGCATTCAAGTCACAGAGCTGAACATTCCCTTTGACAGAGCAGTTTGGAAACTCTCTTTGTGTAGAATCTGCAAGTGGAGATATGGAATGCTTTGAGGACTATGGTAGTAAAGGAAATAGCTTCATATAAAAGCTAGACAGTAGCATTCTCAGAAACTTCTTTGTGATGCTTGCATTCAACTCACAGAGTTGAACTTTCCTTTCGAGAGAGAAGCTTTGAAACACTCTTTTTCCAGAATCTGCAAGTGGACATTTGGAGGGCTTTGAGGCCTGTGGTGGAAAAGGAATTATCTTCCCGTAAAAGCTGGATAGAAGCATTGTCAGAAACTTCTTTGTGATGATTGCATTCAACTCACAGAGTTGAAGGTTCCTTTTCAAAGAGCAGTTTCCAATCACTCTTTCTGTGGAATCTGCAAGTGGATATTTGGACCTATTTTGAAGATTTCGTTGGAAACGGGAGAATCTTCACAGGAAAGCTAAACAGAAGCATTCTCAGAAACTTCTCTGTGATGTTTGTGTTCAACTCCCAGAGTTTCACATTGCTTTTCATAGAGTAGTTCTGAAACATGCTTTTCGTAGTGTCTACAAGTGGACATTTGGAGCGCTTTCAGGCCTGTGGTGGAAAACGAATTATGGTCACATAAAAACTGGAGAGAAGCCTTCTCAGAAACTTCTCTGTGATGATTGCATTCAACTCACAGAGTTGAACCCTCCTATGGATAGAGCAGTGTTGAAACTCTCTTTTTGTGGAATCTGCAAGTGGATACGTGGACCTCTCCGAAGATGTCTTTGGAAACGGGAATATCTTCACATAAAAACTAAACAGAAGCATTCTCAGAAACTTCTTGGTGATGTTTGCATTCAAATCCCAGAGTTGAACCTTCCTGTGATAGTTCAGGTTTGAAACACTCTTTTTGTAGGATCTGCAAGTGGATATTTGGACCACTCTGTGGCCTTCGTTCCAAACGGGTACATCTTCACATAAAATCTAGACAGAAGCATTCTCAGAAAATACTTTGTGATGATTGAGTTTAACTCACAGAGCTGAACATTCCTTTGGATGGAGCAGGTTTGAGACACACTTTTTGTAGAATCTACAAGTGGATATTTGGACCTCTCTGAGGATTTCGTTGGAAACGCGATAACTGCACCTAACTAAACGGAAGCATTCTCAGAAACTACTTTGTGATGATTGCATTCACCTCACAGAGTTGAACATTCCTATTGATAGAGCAGTTTGGAAACACTCTTGTTGTGGAATGTGCAAGTGGAGATTTGGAGCGCTTTGAGGCCTATGGTAGTAAAGGGAATAGCTTCATAGAAAAACTAGACAGATGCATTCTCAGGAACTTTTTGGTGATGTTTGTATTCAACTCCCAGAGTTGAACTTTCCTTTGGAAAGAGCAGCTATGAAACACTGTTTTTCTAGAATCTGCAAGTGGACGTTTGGAGGGCTTTGTGGTTTGTGGTGGAAAAGGAAATATCTTCACCTAAATACTAGATAGAAGCATTCTCAGAAGCTTCTCTGTGATGACTGCATTCAACTCACGGAGTTGAACACTCCTTTTGAGAGCGCAGTTTTGAAACTCTCTTTCTGTGGCATCCGCAAGGGGACATGTGGACCTCTTTGAAGATTTCGTTGGAAACGGAATCATCTTCACATAAAAACTATACAGAAGCAGTCTCAGAATCTTCTTTGTGATGTTTGCATTCAAATCCCAGAGTTGAACTTTCCTTTCAAAGTTCACGTTTGAAACACTCTTTTTGCAGGATCTACAAGTGGATATTTGGACCACTCTGTGTCCTTCTTTCGAAACGGGTATATCTGCACATGACATCTAGACAGAAGCTTTCTCAGAAAATTCTTTGGGATGATTGAGTTGAACTCACAGAGCTGAACATTCCTTGCGATGTAGCAGTTTAGAAACACACTTTCTGCAGAATCTGCAAGTGCATTTGTGGACCTCTCTGAGGAATTCGTTGGAAACGGGATAATTTCAGCTGACTAAACAGAAGCATTCTCAGAACCTTCTTCGTGATGTCTGCATTCAACTCACAGTGTGGAACCTTTCTTTGATAGTTCAGGTTTGAAACACTCTTTTTGTAGAAACTGCAAGGGGATAATTGCACTTCTTTGAGGCCTACCGTAGTAAAGGAAATAACTTCCTATAAAAAGAAGACAGAAGCATTCTCAGAACCCTCTTCGTGATGTTTGCATTCAACACACAGTGCTGAACCTTTCTTTGATAGTTCAGCTTTGAAACACTCTTTTTGTAGAAACTGCAACTGGATATTTGGTCCTCTCTGAGGATTTCGTTGGAAATGGGATAAACCGCACAGTACTAAACAGAAGCATTCTCAGAACCTTCTTCGTGATGTTTGCATTCAACTCACAGTGTTGAACCTTTCTTTGATAGTTCAGGTTTGAAACGGTCTTTCTGTAGAAACTGCAAGTAGATATTTGGACCTCTCTGAGGATTTCGTTGGAAACGGGATAACCCGCACAGAACTAAAACAGAAGCATTCACAGAAAACTCTTGGTGACGACTGAGTTTAACTCACAGAGCTGAACATTCCTTTGGATGGAGCAGTTTCGAAACACACTATTTGTAGAATGTGCAAGTGGATATTTAGGCCTCTCTGAGGATTTCGTTGGAAACGGGATAAACCGCACAGAACTAAACAGAAGCATTCTCAGAAACTACTTTGTGATGATTGCATTCAAGTCACAGAGTTGAACATTCCCTTTGACAGAGCAGTTTGGAAACTCTCTTTGTGTAGAATCTGCAAGTGGAGATATGGACCGCTTTGAGGACTATGGTAGTAAAGGAAATAGCTTCATATAAAAGCTAGACAGTAGCATTCTCAGAAACTTCTTTGTGATGCTTGCATTCAACTCACAGAGTTGAACTTTCCTTTCGAGAGAGAAGCTTTGAAACACTCTTTTTCCAGAATCTGCAAGTGGACATTTGGAGGGCTTTGAGGCCTGTGGTGGAAAAGGAATTATCTTCCCGTAAAAGCTAGATAGAAGCATTGTCAGAAACTTCTTTGTGATGATTGCATTCAACTCACAGAGTTGAAGGTTCCTTTTCAAACAGCAGTTTCCAATCACTCTTTCTGTGGAATCTGCAAGTGGATATTTGGGCCTCTCTGAGGATTTCGTTGGAAACGGGATAAAACGCACAGAACTAAAACAGAAGCATTCTCAGAAACTTCTCTGTGATGTTTGTGTTCAACTCCGAGAGTTTCACATTGCTTTTCATAGAGTAGTTCTGAAACATGCTTTTCATAGTGTCTGCAAGTGGACATTTGGAGCGCTTTCAGGCCTGTGGTGGAAAACGAATTATGGTCACATAAAAACTGGAGAGAAGCCTTCTCAGAAACTTCTCTGTGATGATTGCATTCAACTCACAGAGTTTAACCCTCCTATGGATAGAGCAGTGTTGAAACTCTCTTTTTGTGGAATCTGCAAGTGGATATGTGGACCTCTCCGAAGATGTCTTTGGAAACGGGAATATCTTCACATAAAAACTAAACAGAAGCATTCTCAGAAACTTCTTGGTGATGTTTGCATTCAAATCCCAGAGTTGAACCTTCCTTTGATAGTTCAGGTTTGAAACACTCTTTTTGTAGGATCTGCAAGTGGATATTTGGACCACTCTGTGGCCTTCGTTCAAAACGGGTACATCTTCGCATAAAATCTAGACAGAAGCATTCTCAGAAAATACTTTGTGATGATTGAGTTGAACTCACAGAGCTGAACATTCCTTTGGATGGAGCAGGTTTGAGACACACTTTTTGTAGAATCTACAAGTGGATATTTGGACCTCTCTGAGGATTTCGTTGGAAACGGGATAACTGCACCTAACTAAACGGAAGCATTCTCAGAAACTGCTTTGTGATGATTGCATTCACCTCACAGAGTTGAACATTCCTATTGATAGAGCAGTTTGGAAACACTCTTGTTGTGGAATGTGCAAGTGGAGATTTGGAGCGCTTTGAGGCCTGTGGTAGTAAAGGGAATAGCTTCATAGAAAAACTAGACAGATGCATTCTCAGGAACTTTTTGGTGATGTTTGTATTCAACTCCCAGAGTTGAACTTTCCTTTGGAAAGAGCAGCTATGAAACACTCTTTTTCTAGAATCTGCAAGTGGACGTTTGGAGGGCTTTGTGGTTTGTGGTGGAAAAGGAAATATCTTCACCTAAATACTAGATAGAAGCATTCTCAGAAGCTTCTCTGTGATGACTGCATTCAACTCACGGAGTTGAACACTCCTTTTGAGAGCGCAGTTTTGAAACTCTCTTTCTGTGGCATCTGCAAGGGGACATGTAGACCTCTTTGAAGATTTCGTTGGAAACGGAATCATCTTCACATAAAAACTATACAGAAGCAGTCTCAGAATCTTCTTTGTGATGTTTGCATTCAAATCCCAGAGTTGAACTTTCCTTTCAAAGTTCACGTTTGAAACACTCTTTTTGCAGGATCTACAAGTGGATATTTGGACCACTCTGTGTCCTTCGTTCGAAACGGGTATATCTTCACAGGACATCTAGACAGAAGCTTTCTCAGAAAATTCTTTGGGATGATTGAGTGGAACTCACAGAGCTGAACATTCCTTGCGATGGAGCAGTTTAGAAACACACTTTCTGCAGAATCTGCAAGTGCATATTTGGACCTCTCTGAGGAATTCGTTGGAAACGGGATAATTTCAGCTGACTAAACAGAAGCATTCTCAGAACCTTCTTCGTGATGTCTGCATTCAACTCACAGTGTGGAACCTTTCTTTGATAGTTCAGGTTTGAAACACTCTTTTTGTAGAAACTGCAAGGGGATAATTGCACTTCTTTGAGGCCTACCGTAGTAAAGGAAATAACTTCCTATAGAAAGAAGACAGAAGCATTCTCAGAACCCTCTTCGTGATGTTTGCATTCAACTCACAGTGCTGAACCTTTCTTTGATAGTTCAGCTTTGAAACACTCTTCTTGTAGAAACTGCAAGTGGATATTTGGTCCTCTCTGAGGATTTCGTTGGAAACGGGATAAACCGCACAGAACTAAACAGAAGCATTCTCAGAACCTTCTTCGTGATGTTTGCATTCAACTCACAGTGTTGAACCTTTCTTTGATAGTTCAGGTTTGAAACGGTCTTTCTGTAGAAACTGCAAGTAGATATTTGGACCTCTCTGAGGATTTCGTTGGAAACGGGATAACCCGCACAGAACTAAAACAGAAGCATTCACAGAAAACTCTTGGTGACGACTGAGTTTAACTCACAGAGCTGAACATTCCTTTGGATGGAGCAGTTTCGAAACACACTATTTGTAGAATGTGCAAGTGGATATTTGGGCCTCTCTGAGGATTTCGTTGGAAACGGGATAAACCGCACAGAACTAAACAGAAGCATTCTCAGAAACTACTTTGTGATGATTGCATTCAAGTCACAGAGTTGAACATTCCCTTTGACAGAGCAGTTTGGAAACTCTCTTTGTGTAGAATCTGCAAGTGGAGATATGGACCGCTTTGAGGCCTATGGTAGTAAAGGAAATAGCTTCATATAAAAGCTAGACAGTAGCATTCTCAGAAACTTCTTTGTGATGCTTGCATTCAACTCACAGAGTTGAACTTTCCTTTCGAGAGAGAAGCTTTGAAACACTCTTTTTCCAGAATCTGCAAGTGGACATTTGGAGGGCTTTGAGGCCTGTGGTGGAAAAGGAATTATCTTCCCGTAAAAGCTAGATAGAAGCATTGTCAGAAACTTCTTTGTGATGATTGCATTCAACTCACAGAGTTGAAGGTTCCTTTTCAAACAGCAGTTTCCAATCACTCTTTCTGTGGAATCTGCAAGTGGATATTTGGGCCTCTCTGAGGATTTCGTTGGAAACGGGATAAAACGCACAGAACTAAAACAGAAGCATTCTCAGAAACTTCTCTGTGATATTTGTGTTCAACTCCCAGAGTTTCACATTGCTTCTCATAGAGTAGTTCTGAAACATGCTTTTCGTAGTGTCTGCAAGTGGTCATTTGGAGCGCTTTCCGGCCTGTGGTGGAAAACGAATTATGGTCACATAAAAACTGGAGAGAAGCCTTCTCAGAAACTTCTCTGTGATGATTGCATTCAACTCACAGAGTTGAACCCTCCTATGGATAGAGCAGTGTTGAAACTCTCTTTTTGTGGAATCTGCAAGTGGATATGTGGACCTCTCCGAAGATGTCTTTGGAAACGGGAATATCTTCACATAAAAACTAAACAGAAGCATTCTCAGAAACTTCTTGGTGATGTTTGCATTCAAATCCCAGAGTTGAACCTTCCTTTGATAGTTCAGGTTTGAAACACTCTTTCTGTAGGATCTGCAAGTGGCTATTTGGACCACTCTGTGGCCTTCGTTCGAAACGGGTATATCTTCGCATAAAATCTAGACAGAAGCATTCTCAGAAAATACTTTGTGATGATTGAGTTTAAATCACAGAGCTGACCATTCCTTTGGATGGAGCAGGTTTGAGACACACTTTTTGTAGAATCTACAAGTGGATATTTGGACCTCTCTGAGGATTTCGTTGGAAACGGGATAACTGCACCTAACTAAACGGAAGCATTCTCAGAAACTGCTTTGTGATGATTGCATTCACCTCACAGAGTTGAACATTCCTATTGATAGAGCAGTTTGAAAACACTCTTCTTGTGGAATGTGCAAGTGGAGATTTGGAGCGCTTTGAGGCCTATGGTAGTAAAGGGAATAGCTTCATAGAAAAATTAGACAGATGCATTCTCAGGAACTTTTTGGTGATGTTTGTATTCAACTCCCAGAGTTGAACTTTCCTTTGGAAAGAGCAGCTATGAAACACTCTTTTTCTAGAATCTGCAAGTGGACGTTTGGAGGGCTTTGTGGTTTGTGGTGGAAAAGGAAATATCTTCACCTAAATACTAGATAGAAGCATTCTCAGAAGCTTCTCTGTGATGACTGCATTCAACTCACGGGGTTGAACACTCCTTTTGGGAGCGCAGTTTTGAAACTCTCTTTCTGTGGCATCTGCAAGGGGACATGTAGACCTCTTTGAAGATTTCGTTGGAAACGGAATCATCTTCACATAAAAACTATACAGAAGCAGTCTCAGAATCTTCTTTGTGATGTTTGCATTCAAATCCCAGAGTTGAACTTTCCTTTCAAAGTTCACGTTTGAAACACTCTTTTTGCAGGATCTACAAGTGGATATTTGGACCACTCTGTGTCCTTCGTTCGAAACGGGTATATCTTCACATGACATCTAGACAGAAGCTTTCTCAGAAAATTCTTTGGGATGATTGAGTTGAACTAACAGAGCTGAACATTCCTTGCGATGGAGCAGTTTAGAAACACACTTTCTGCAGAATCTGCAAGTGCATATTTGGACCTCTCTGAGGAATTCGTTGGAAACGCGATAATTTCAGCTGACTAAACAGAAGCATTCTCAGAACCTTCTTCGTGATGTCTGCATTCAACTCACAGTGTGGAACCTTTCTTTGATAGTTCAGGTTTGAAACACTCTTTTTGTAGAAACTGCAAGGGGATAATTGCACTCTTTGAGGAGTACCGTAGTAAAGGAAATAACTTCCTATAAAAAGAAGACAGAAGCATTCTCAGAACCCTCTTCGTGATGTTTGCATTCAACTCACAGTGCTGAACCTTTCTTTGATAGTTCAGCTTTGAAACACTCTTCTTGTAGAAACTGCAAGTGGATATTTGGTCCTCTCTGAGGATTTCGTTGGAAACGGGATAAACCGCACAGAACTAAACAGAAGCATTCTCAGAACCTTCTTCGTGATGTTTGCATTCAACTCACAGTGCTGAACCTTTCTTTGATAGTTCAGCTTTGAAACACTCTTCTTGTAGAAACTGCAAGAGGATACTTGGTGTTCTCTGAGGATTTCGTTGGAAAAGGGATAAACCGCACAGAACTAAACAGAAGCATTCACAGAAAACCCTTGGTGACGACTGAGTTTAACTCACAGAGCTGAACATTCCTTTGGATGGAGCAGTTTCGAAACATACTATTTGTAGAATCTGCAAGTGGATATTTGGGCCTCTCTGAGGATTTCGATGGAAACGGGATAAACCGCACAGAACTAAAACAGAAGCATTCTCAGAAACTACTTTGTGATGATTGCATTCAAGTCACAGAGTTGAACATTCCCTTTGACAGAGCAGTTTGGAAACTCTCTTTGTGTAGAATCTGCAAGTGGAGATATGGACCGCTTTGAGGCCTATGGTAGTAAAGGAAATAGCTTCATATAAAAGCTAGACAGTAGCATTCTCAGAAACTTCTTTGTGATGCTTGCATTCAACTCACTGAGTTGAACTTTCCTTTCGAGAGAGAAGCTTTGAAACAGTCTTTTTCCAGAATCTGCAAGTGGACATTTGGAGGGCTTTGAGGCCTGTGGTGGAAAAGGAATTATCTTCCCGTAAAAGCTAGATAGAAGCATTGTCAGAAACTTCTTTGTGATGATTGCATTCAAATCACAGAGTTGAAGGTTCCTTTTCAAACAGCAGTTTCCAAACACTCTTTCTGTGGAATCTGCAAGTGGATATTTGGACCTCTTTGAAGATTTCGTTGGAAACGGGAAAGTCTTCACAGAAAAGTTAAACAGAAGCATTCTCAGAAACTTCTCTGTGATGTTTGTGTTCAACTCCCAGAGTTTCACATTGCTTCTCATAGAGTAGTTCTGAAACATGCTTTTCGTAGTGTCTGCAAGTGGACATTTGGAGCGCTTTCAGGCCTGTGGTGGAAAACGAATTATGGTCCCATAAAAACTGGAGAGAAGCCTTCTCAGAAACTTCTCTGTGATAATTGAATTCAACTCACAGAGTTGAACCGTCCTATGGATAGAGCAGTGTTGAAACTCTCTTTTTGTGGAATCTGCAAGTGGATATGTGGACCTCTCCGAAGATGTCTTTGGAAACGGGAATATCTTCACATAAAAACTAAACAGAAGCATTCTCAGAAACTTCTTGGTGATGTTTGCATTCAAATCCCAGAGTTGAACCTTCCTTTGATAGTTCAGGTTTGAAACACTCTTTCTGTAGGATCTGCAAGTGGCTATTTGGACCACTCTGTGGCCTTCGTTCGAAACGGGTATATCTTCGCATAAAATCTAGACAGAAGCATTCTCAGAAAATACTTTGTGATGATTGAGTTTAAATCACAGAGCTGACCATTCCTTTGGATGGAGCAGGTTTGAGACACACTTTTTGTAGAATCTACAAGTGGATATTTGGACCTCTCTGAGGATTTCGTTGGAAACGGGATAACTGCACCTAACTAAACGGAAGCATTCTCAGAAACTGCTTTGTGATGATTGCATTCACCTCACAGAGTTGAACATTCCTATTGATAGAGCAGTTTGGAAACACTCTTGTTGTGGAATGTGCAAGTGGAGATTTGGAGCGCTTTGAGGCCTGTGGTAGTAAAGGGAATAGCTTCATAGAAAAACTAGACAGATGCATTCTCAGGAACTTTTTGGTGATGTTTGTATTCAACTCCCAGAGTTGAACTTTCCTTTGGAAAGAGCAGCTATGAAACACTCTTTTTCTAGAATCTGCAAGTGGACGTTTGGAGGGCTTTGTGGTTTGTGGTGGAAAAGGAAATATCTTCACCTAAATACTAGATAGAAGCATTCTCAGAAGCTTCTCTGTGATGACTGCATTCAACTCACGGAGTTGAACACTCCTTTTGAGAGCGCAGTTTTGAAACTCTCTTTCTGTGGCATCTGCAAGGGGACATGTAGACCTCTTTGAAGATTTCGTTGGAAACGGAATCATCTTCACATAAAAACTATACAGAAGCAGTCTCAGAATCTTCTTTGTGATGTTTGCATTCAAATCCCAGAGTTGAACTTTCCTTTCAAAGTTCACGTTTGAAACACTCTTTTTGCAGGATCTACAAGTGGATATTTGGACCACTCTGTGTCCTTCGTTCGAAACGGGTATATCTTCACACGACATCTAGACAGAAGCTTTCTCAGAAAATTCTTTGGGATGATTGAGTGGAACTCACAGAGCTGAACATTCCTTGCGATGTAGCAGTTTAGAAACACACTTTCTGCAGAATCTGCAAGTGCATATTTGGACCTCTCTGAGGAATTCGTTGGAAACGGGATAATTTCAGCTGACTAAACAGAAGCATTCTCAGAACCTTCTTCGTGATGTCTGCATTCAACTCACAGTGTGGAACCTTTCTTTGATAGTTCAGGTTTGAAACACTCTTTTTGTAGAAACTGCAAGGGGATCATTGCACTTCTTTGAGGCCTACCGTAGTAAAGGAAATAACTTCCTATAAAAAGAAGACAGAAGCATTCTCAGAACCCTCTTCGTGATGTTTGCATTCAACTCACAGTGCTGAACCTTTCTTTGATAGTTCAGCTTTGAAACACTCTTTTTGTAGAAACTGCAAGTGGATATTTGGTCCTCTCTGAGGATTTCGTTGGAAACGGGATAAAACGCACAGAACTAAACAGAAGCATTCTCAGAACCTTCTTCGTGATGTTTGCATTCAACTCACAGTGTTGAACCTTTCTTTGATAGTTCAGGTTTGAAACGGTCTTTCTGTAGAAACTGCAAGTAGATATTTGGACCTCTCTGAGGATTTCGTTGGAAACGGGATAAACTGCACAGAACTAAAACAGAAGCATTCACAGAAAACTCTTGGTGACGACTGAGTTTAACTCACAGAGCTGAACATTCCTTTGGATGGAGCAGTTTCGAAACACACTATTTGTAGAATGTGCAAGTGGATATTTAGGCCTCTCTGAGGATTTCGTTGGAAACGGGATAAACCGCACAGAACTAAACAGAAGCATTCTCAGAAACTACTTTGTGATGATTGCATTCAAGTCACAGAGTTGAACATTCCCTTTGACAGAGCAGTTTGGAAACTCTCTTTGCGTAGAATCTGCAAGTGGAGATATGGACCGCTTTGAGGCCTATGGTAGTAAAGGAAATAGCTTCATATAAAAGCTAGACAGCAGCATTCTCAGAAACTTCTTTGTGATGCTTGCATTCAACTCACAGAGTTGAACTTTCCTTTCGAGAGAGAAGCTTTGAAACACTCTTTTTCCAGAATCTGCAAGTGGACATTTGGAGGGCTTTGAGGCCTGTGGTGGAAAAGGAATTATCTTCCCGTAAAAGCTAGATAGAAGCATTGTCAGAAACTTCTTTGTGATGATTGCATTCAACTCACAGAGATGAAGGTTCCTTTACAAACAGCAGTTTCCAAACACTCTTTCTGTGGAATCTGCAAGTGGATATTTGGACCTCTTTGAAGATTTCGTTGGAAACGGGAGAATCTTCACAGAAAAGCTAAACAGAAGCATTCTCAGAAACTTCTCTGTGATGTTTGTGTTCAACTCCCAGAGTTTCACGTTGCTTTTCATAGAGTAGTTCTGAAACATGCTTTTCGTAGTGTCTGCAAGTGGACATTTGGAGCGCTTTCAGGCCTGTGGTGGAAAACGAATTATGGTCACATAAAAACTGGAGAGAAGCCTTCTCAGAAACTTCTCTGTGATGATTGCATTCAACTCACAGAGTTGAACCCTCCTATGGATAGAGCAGTGTTGAAACTCTCTTTTTGTGGAACCTGCAAGTGGATATGTGGACCTCTCCGAAGATGTCTTTGGAAACGGGAATATCTTCACATAAAAACTAAACAGAAGCATTCTCAGAAACTTCTTGGTGATGTTTGCATTCAAATCCCAGAGTTGAACCTTCCTTTGATAGTTCAGGTTTGAAACACTCTTTCTGTAGGATCTGCAAGTGGCTATTTGGACCACTCTGTGGCCTTCGTTCGAAACGGGTATATCTTCGCATAAAATCTAGACAGAAGCATTCTCAGAAAATACTTTGTGATGATTGAGTTTAACTCACAGAGCTGAACATTCCTTTGGATGGAGCAGGTTTGAGACACACTTTTTGTAGAATCTACAAGTGGATATTTGGACCTCTCTGAGGATTTCGTTGGAAACGGGATAACTGCACCTAACTAAACGGAAGCATTCTCAGAAACTCCTTTGTGATGATTGCATTCACCTTACAGAGTTGAACATTCCTATTGATAGAGCAGTTTGGAAACACTGTTGTTGTGGAATGTGCAAGTGGAGATTTGGAGCGCTTTGAGGCCTATGGTAGTAAAGGGAATAGCTTCATAGAAAAACTAGACAGATGCATTCTCAGGAACTTTTTGGTGATGTTTGTATTCAACTCCCAGAGTTGAACTTTCCTTTGGAAAGAGCAGCTATGAAACACTCTTTTTCTAGAATCTGCAAGTGGACGTTTGGAGGGCTTTGTGGTTTGTGGTGGAAAAGGAAATATCTTCACCTAAATACTAGAGAGAAGCATTCTCAGAAGCTTCTCTGTGATGACTGCATTCAACTCACGGAGTTGAACACTCCTTTTGAGAGCGCAGTTTTGAAACTCTCTTTCTGTGGCATCTGCAAGGGGACATGTAGACCTCTTTGAAGATTTCGTTGGAAACGGAATCATCTTCACATAAAAACTATACAGAAGCAGTCTCAGAATCTTCTTTGTGATGTTTGCATTCAAATCCCAGAGTTGAACTTTCCTTTCAAAGTTCACGTTTGAAACACTCTTTTTGCAGGATCTACAAGTGGATATTTGGACCACTCTGTGTCCTTCGTTCGAAACGGGTATAACTTCACACGACATCTAGACAGAAGCTTTCTCAGAAAATTCTTTGGGATGATTGAGTGGAACTCACAGAGCTGAACATTCCTTGCGATGTAGCAGTTTAGAAACACACTTTCTGCAGAATCTGCAAGTGCATATTTGGACCTCTCTGAGGAATTCGTTGGAAACGGGATAATTTCAGCTGACTAAACAGAAGCATTCTCAGAACCTTCTTCGTGATGTCTGCATTCAACTCACAGTGTGGAACCTTTCTTTGATAGTTCAGGTTTGAAACACTCTTTTTGTAGAAACTGCAAGGGGATAATTGCACTTCTTTGAGGCCTACCGTAGTAAAGGAAATAACTTCCTATAGAAAGAAGACAGAAGCATTCTCAGAACCCTCTTCGTGATGTTTGCATTCAACTCACAGTGCTGAACCTTTCTTTGATAGTTCAGCTTTGAAACACTCTTCTTGTAGAAACTGCAAGTGGATATTTGGTCCTCTCTGAGGATTTCGTTGGAAACGGGATAAACCGCACAGAACTAAACAGAAGCATTCTCAGAACCTTCTTCGTGATGTTTGCATTCAACTCACAGTGTTGAACCTTTCTTTGATAGTTCAGGTTTGAAACGGTCTTTCTGTAGAAACTGCAAGTAGATATTTGGACCTCTCTGAGGATTTCGTTGGAAACGGGATAACCCGCACAGAACTAAAACAGAAGCATTCACAGAAAACTCTTGGTGACGACTGAGTTTAACTCACAGAGCTGAACATTCCTTTGGATGGAGCAGTTTCGAAACACACTATTTGTAGAATGTGCAAGTGGATATTTAGGCCTCTCTGAGGATTTCGTTGGAAACGGGATAAACCGCACAGAACTAAACAGAAGCATTCTCAGAAACTACTTTGTGATGATTGCATTCAAGTCACAGAGTTGAACATTCCCTTTGACAGAGCAGTTTGGAAACTCTCTTTGTGTAGAATCTGCAAGTGGAGATATGGACCGCTTTGAGGCCTATGGTAGTAAAGGAAATAGCTTCATATAAAAGCTAGACAGTAGCATTCTCAGAAACTTCTTTGTGATGCTTGCATTCAACTCACAGAGTTGAACTTTCCTTTCGAGAGAGAAGCTTTGAAACACTCTTTTTCCAGAATCTGCAAGTGGACATTTGGAGGGCTTTGAGGCCTGTGGTGGAAAAGGAATTATCTTCCCGTAAAAGCTAGACAGAAGCATTGTCAGAAACTTCTTTGTGATGATTGCATTCAACTCACAGAGTTGAAGGTTCCTTTTCAAAGAGCAGTTTCCAATCACTCTTTCTGTGGAATCTGCAAGTGGATATTTGGACCTCTTTGAAGATTTCGTTGGAAACGGGAGAATCTTCACAGAAAAGCTAAACAGAAGCATTCTCAGAAACTTCTCTGTGATGTTTGTGTTCAACTCCCAGAGTTTCACATTGCTTCTCATAGAGTAGTTCTGAAACATGCTTTTCGTAGTGTCTGCAAGTGGACATTTGGAGCGCTTTCAGGCCTGTGGTGGAAAACGAATTATGGTCACATAAAAACTGGAGAGAAGCCTTCTCAGAAACTTCTCTGCGATGATTGCATTCAACTCACAGAGTTGAACCCTCCTATGGATAGAGCAGTGTTGAAACTCTCTTTTTGTGGAATCTGCAAGTGGATATGTGGACCTCTTTGAAGATGTCTTTGGAAACGGGAATATCTTCACATAAAAACTAAACGGAAGGATTCTCAGAAACTTCTTGGTGATGTTTGCATTCAAATCCCAGAGTTGAACCTTCCTTTGATAGTTCAGGTTTGAAACACTCTTTTTGTAGGATCTGCAAGTGGCTATTTGGACCACTCCTGTGGCATTCGTTCAAAACGGGTATATCTTCGCATAAAATCTAGACAGAAGCATTCTCAGAAAATACTTTGTGATGATTGAGTTTAAATCACAGAGCTGAACATTCCTTTGGATGGAGCAGGTTTGAGACACACTTTTTGTAGAATCTACAAGTGGATATTTGGACCTCTCTGAGGATTTCGTTGGAAACGGGATAACTGCACCTAACTAAACGGAAGCATTCTCAGAAACTGCTTTGTGATGATTGCATTCACCTCACAGAGTTGTACATTCCTATTGATAGAGCAGTTTGGAAACACTCTTGTTGTGGAATGTGCAAGTGGACATTTGGAGTGCTTTGAGGCCTATGGTAGTAAAGGGAATAGCTTCATAGAAAAACTAGACAGATGCATTCTCAGGAACTTTTTGGTGATGTTTGTATTCAACTCCCAGAGTTGAACTTTCCTTTGGAAAGAGCAGCTATGAAACACTCTTTTTCTAGAATCTGCAAGTGGACGTTTGGAGGGCTTTGTGGTTTGTGGTGGAAAAGGAAATATCTTCACCTAAATACTAGATAGAAGCATTCTCAGAAGCTTCTCTGTGATGACTGCATTCAACTCACGGAGTTGAACACTCCTTTTGAGAGCGCAGTTTTGAAACTCTCTTTCTGTGGCATCTGCAAGGGGACATGTAGACCTCTTTGAAGATTTCGTTGGAAACGGAATCATCTTCACATAAAAACTATACAGAAGCAGTCTCAGAATCTTCTTTGTGATGTTTGCATTCAAATCCCAGAGTTGAACTTTCCTTTCAAAGTTCACGTTTGAAACACTCTTTTTGCAGGATCTACAAGTGGATATTTGGACCACTCTGTGTCCTTCGTTCGAAACGGGTATATCTTCACACGACATCTAGACAGAAGCTTTCTCAGAAAATTCTTTGGGATGATTGAGTGGAACTCACAGAGCTGAACATTCCTTGCGATGTAGCAGTTTAGAAACACACTTTCTGCAGAATCTGCAAGTGCATATTTGGACCTCTCTGAGGAATTCGTTGGAAACGGGATAATTTCAGCTGACTAAACAGAAGCATTCTCAGAACCTTCTTCGTGATGTCTGCATTCAACTCACAGTGTGGAACCTTTCTTTGATAGTTCAGGTTTGAAACACTCTTTTTGGAGAAACTGCAAGGGGATCATTGCACTTCTTTGTGGCCTACCGTAGTAAAGGAGATAAGTTCCTATAAAAAGAAGACAGAAGCATTCTCAGAACACTCTTCGTGATGTTTGCATTCAACTCACGGTGCTGAACCTTTCTTTGATAGTTCAGCTTTGAAACACTCTTTTTGTAGAAACTGCAAGTGGATATTTGGTCCTCTCTGAGGATTTCGTTGGAAACGGGATAAACCGCACAGAACTAAACAGAAGCATTCTCAGAACCTTCTTCGTGATGTTTGCATTCAACTCACAGTGTTGAACCTTTCTTTGATAGTTCAGGTTTGAAACGGTCTTTCTGTAGAAACTGCAAGTAGATATTTGGACCTCTCTGAGGATTTCGTTGGAAACGGGATAACCCGCACAGAACTAAAACAGAAGCATTCACAGAAAACTCTTGGTGACGACTGAGTTTAACTCACAGAGCTGAACATTCCTTTGGATGGAGCAGTTTCGAAACACACTATTTGTAGAATCTGCAAGTGGATATTTGGGCCTCTCTGAGGATTTCGTTGGAAACGGGATAAACCGCACAGAACTAAAACAGAAGCATTCTCAGAAACTACTTTGTGATGATTGCATTCAAGTCACAGAGTTGAACATTCCCTTTGACAGAGCAGTTTGGAAACTCTCTTTGTGTAGAATCTGCAAGTGGAGATATGGACCGCTTTGAGGCCTATGGTAGTAAAGGAAATACCTTCATATAAAAGCTAGACAGTAGCATTCTCAGAAACTTCTTTGTGATGCTTGCATTCAACTCACAGAGTTGAACTTTCCTTTCGAGAGAGAAGCTTTGAAACACTCTTTTTCCAGAATCTGCAAGTGGACATTTGGAGGGCTTTGAGGCCTGTGTTGGAAAAGGAATTATCTTCCCGTAAAAGCTAGACAGAAGCATTGTCAGAAACTTCTTTGTGATGATTGCATTCAACTCACAGAGTTGAAGGTTCCTTTTCAAACAGCAGTTTCCAATCACTCTTTCTGTGGAATCTGCAAGTGGATATTTCGTCCTCTTTGAAGATTTCGTTGGAAACGGGAGAACCTTCACAGAAAAGCTAAACAGAAGCATTCTCAGAAACTTCTCTGTGATGTTTGTGTTCAACTCCCAGAGTTTCACATTGCTTTTCATAGAGTAGTTCTGAAACATGCTTTTCGTAGTGTCTACAAGTGGACATTTGGAGCGCTTTCAGGCCTGTGGTGGAAAATGAATTATGGTCACATAAAAACTGGAGAGAAGCCTTCTCAGAAACTTCTCTGTGATGATTGCATTCAACTCACAGAGTTGAACCCTCCTATGGATAGAGCAGTGTTGAAACTCTCTTTTTGTGGAATCTGCAAGTGGATATGTGGACCTCTCCGAAGATGTCTTTGGAAACGGGAATATCTTCACATAAAAACTAAACAGAAGCATTCTCAGAAACTTCTTGGTGATGTTTGCATTCAAATCCCAGAGTTGAACCTTCCTTTGAGAGTTCAGGTTTGAAACACTCTTTTTGTAGGATCTGCAAGTGGATATTTGGACCACTCTGTGGCCTTCGTTCGAAACGGGTACATCTTCGCATAAAATCTAGACAGAAGCATTCTCAGAAAATACTTTGTGATGATTGAGTTTAACTCACAGAGCTGAACATTCCTTTGGATGGAGCAGGTTTGAGACACACTTTTTGTAGAAACTACAAGTGGATATTTGGACCTCTCTGAGGATTTCGTTGGAAACGCGATAACTGCACCTAATTAAACGGAAGCATTCTCAGAAACTGCTTTGTGATGATTGCATTCACCTCACAGAGTTGAACATTCCTATTGATAGAGCAGTTTGGAAACACTCTTGTTGTGGAATGTGCAAGTGGAGATTTGGAGCGCTTTGAGGCCTATGGTAGTAAAGGGAATAGCTTCATAGAAAAACTAGACAGATGCATTCTCAGGAACTTTTTGGTGATGTTTGTATTCAACTCCCAGAGTTGAACTTTCCTTTGGAAAGAGCAGCTATGAAACACTCTTTTTCTAGAATCTGCAAGTGGACGTTTGGAGGGCTTTGTGGTTTGTGGTGGAAAAGGAAATATCTTCACCTAAATACTAGATAGAAGCATTCTCAGAAGCTTCTCTGTGATGACTGCATTCAACTCACGGAGTTGAACACTCCTTTTGAGAGCGCAGTTTTGAAACTCTCTTTCTGTGGCATCTGCAAGGGGACATGTAGACCTCTTTGAAGATTTCGTTGGAAACGGAATCATCTTCACATAAAAACTATACAGAAGCAGTCTCAGAATCTTCTTTGTGATGTTTGCATTCAAATCCCAGAGTTGAACTTTCCTTTCAAAGTTCACGTTTGAAACACTCTTTTTGCAGGATCTACAAGTGGATATTTGGACCACTCTGTGTCCTTCGTTCGAAACGGGTATATCTTCACACGACATCTAGACAGAAGCTTTCTCAGAAAATTCTTTGGGATGATTGAGTGGAACTCACAGAGCTGAACATTCCTTGCGATGTAGCAGTTTAGAAACACACTTTCTGCAGAATCTGCAAGTGCATATTTGGACCTCTCTGAGGAATTCGTTGGAAACGGGATAATTTCAGCTGACTAAACAGAAGCATTCTCAGAACCTTCTTCGTGATGTCTGCATTCAACTCACAGTGTGGAACCTTTCTTTGATAGTTCAGGTTTGAAACACTCTTTTTGTAGAAACTGCAAGGGGATAATTGCACTTCTTTGAGGCCTACCGTAGTAAAGGAAATAACTTCCTATAGAAAGAAGACAGAAGCATTCTCAGAACCCTCTTCGTGATGTTTGCATTCAACACACAGTGCTGAACCTTTCTTTGATAGTTCAGCTTTGAAACACTCTTTTTGTAGAAACTGCAAGTGGATATTTGGTCCTCTCTGAGGATTTCGTTGGAAACGGGATAAACTGCACAGAACTAAACAGAAGCATTCTCAGAACCTTCTTCGTGATGTTTGCATTCAACTCACAGTGTTGAACCTTTCTTTGATAGTTCAGGTTTGAAACGGTCTTTCTGCAGAAACTGCAAGTAGATATTTGGACCGCTCTGAGGATTTCGTTGGAAACGGGATAACCCGCACAGAACTAAAACAGAAGCATTCACAGAAAACTCTTGGTGACGACTGAGTTTAACTCACAGAGCTGAACATTCCTTTGGATGGAGCAGTTTCGAAACACACTATTTGTAGAATGTGCAAGTGGATATGTGGGCCTCTCTGAGGATTTCGTTGGAAACGGGATAAACCGCACAGAACTAAACAGAAGCATTCTCAGAAACTACTTTGTGATGATTGCATTCAAGTCACAGAGTTGAACATTCCCTTTGACAGAGCAGTTTGGAAACTCTCTTTGTGTAGAATCTGCAAGTGGAGATATGGACCGCTTTGAGGCCTATGGTAGTAAAGGAAATAGCTTCATATAAAAGCTAGACAGTAGCATTCTCAGAAACTTCTTTGTGATGCTTGCATTCAACTCACAGAGTTGAACTTTCCTTTCGAGAGAGAAGCTTTGAAACACTCTTTTTCCAGAATGTGCAAGTGGACATTTGGGGAGCTTTGAGGCCTGTGGTGGAAAAGGAATTATCTTCCCGTAAAAGCTAGATAGAAGCATTGTCAGAAACTTCTTTGTGATGATTGCATTCAACTCACAGAGTTGAAGGTTCCTTTTCAAACAGCAGTTTCCAATCACTCTTTCTGTGGAATCTGCAAGTGGATATTTGGGCCTCTCTGAGGATTTCGTTGGAAACGGGATAAAACGCACAGAACTAAAACAGAAGCATTCTCAGAAACTTCTCTGTGATGTTTGTGTTCAACTCCCAGAGTGTCACATTGCTTCTCATAGAGTAGTTCTGAAACATGCTTTTCGTAGTGTCTGCAAGTGGACATTTGGAGCGCTTTCAGGCCTGTGGTGGAAAACGAATTATGGTCACATAAAAACTGGACAGAAGCCTTCTCAGAAACTTCTCTGTGATGATTGCATTCAACTCACAGAGTTGAACCCTCCTATGGATAGAGCAGTGTTGAAACTCTCTTTTTGTGGAATCTGCAAGTGGATATGTGGACCTCTCCGAAGATGTCTTTGGAAACGGGAATATCTTCACATAAAAACTAAACAGAAGCATTCTCAGAAACTTCTTGGTGATGTTTGCATTCAAATCCCAGAGTTGAACCTTCCTTTGATAGTTCAGGTTTGAAACACTCTTTTTGTAGGATCTGCAAGTGGATATTTGGACCACTCTGTGGCCTTCGTTCGAAACGGGTACATCTTCACATAAAATCTATACAGAAGCATTCTCAGAAAATACTTTGTGATGATTGAGTTTAACTCACAGAGCTGAACATTCCTTTGGATGGAGCAGGTTTGAGACACACTTTTTGTAGAATCTACAAGTGGATATTTGGACCTCTCTGAGGATTTCGTTGGAAACGGGATAACTGCACCTAACTAAACGGGAAGCATTCTCAGAAACTGCTTTGTGATGATTGCATTCACCTCACAGAGTTGAACATTCCTATTGATAGAGCAGTTTGGAAACACTCTTGTTGTGGAATGTGCAAGTGGAGATTTGGAGCGCTTTGAGGCCTATGGTAGTAAAGGGAATAGCTTCATAGAAAAACTAGACAGATGCATTCTCAGGAACTTTTTGGTGATGTTTGTATTCAACTCCCAGAGTTGAACTTTCCTTTGGAAAGAGCAGCTATGAAACACTCTTTTTCTAGAATCTGCAAGTGGACGTTTGGAGGGCTTTGTGGTTTGTGGTGGAAAAGGAAATATCTTCACCTAAATACTAGATAGAAGCATTCTCAGAAGCTTCTCTGTGATGACTGCATTCAACTCACGGAGTTGAACACTCCTTTTGAGAGCGCAGTTTTGAAACTCTCTTTCTGTGGCATCTGCAAGGGGACATGTAGACCTCTTTGAAGATTTCGTTGGAAACGGAATCATCTTCACATAAAAACTATACAGAAGCAGTCTCAGAATCTTCTTTGTGATGTTTGCATTCAAATCCCAGAGTTGAACTTTCCTTTCAAAGTTCACGTTTGAAACACTCTTTTTGCAGGATCTACAAGTGGATATTTGGACCACTCTGTGTCCTTCGTTCGAAACGGGTATATCTTCACACGACATCTAGACAGAAGCTTTCTCAGAAAATTCTTTGGGATGATTGAGTTGAACTCACAGAGCTGAGCATTCCTTGCGATGTAGCAGTTTAGAAACACACTTTCTGCAGAATCTGCAAGTGCATATTTGGACCTCTGTGAGGAATTCGTTGGAAACGGGATAATTTCAGCTGACTAAACAGAAGCATTCTCAGAACCTTCTTCGTGATGTCTGCATTCAACACAAAGTGTGGAACCTTTCTTTGATAGTTCAGGTTTTAAAAACTCTTTTTGTAGAAACTGCAAGGGGATAATTGCACTCTTTGAGGAGTACCGTAGTAAAGGAAATAACTTCCTATAAAAAGAAGACAGAAGCATTCTCAGAACCCTCTTCGTGATGTTTGCATTCAACTCACAGTGCTGAACCTTTCTTTGATAGTTCAGCTTTGAAACACTCTTTTTGTAGAAACTGCAAGTGAATATTTGGTCCTCTCTGACGATTTCGTTGGAAACGGGATAAAACGCACAGAACTAAACAGAAGCATTCTCAGAACCTTCTTCGTGATGTTTGCATTCAACTCACAGTGTTGAACCTTTCTTTGATAGTTCAGGTTTGAAACGGTCTTTCTGTAGAAACTGCAAGTAGATATTTGGACCTCTCTGAGGATTTCGTTGGAAACGGGATAAACCGCACAGAACTAAAACAGAAGCATTCACAGAAAACTCTTGGTGACGACTGAGTTTAACTCACAGAGCTGAACATTCCTTTGGATGGAGCAGTTTCGAAACACACTATTTGTAGAATGTGCAAGTGGATATTTAGGCCTCTCTGAGGATTTCGTTGGAAACGGGATAAACCGCACAGAACTAAACAGAAGCATTCTCAGAAACTACTTTGTGATGATTGCATTCAAGTCACAGAGTTGAACATTCCCTTTGACAGAGCAGTTTGGAAACTCTCTTTGTGTAGAATCTGCAAGTGGAGATATGGACCGCTTTGAGGCCTATGGTAGTAAAGGAAATAGCTTCATATAAAAGCTAGACAGTAGCATTCTCAGAAACTTCTTTGTGATGCTTGCATTCAACTCACAGAGTTGAACTTTCCTTTCGAGAGAGAAGCTTTGAAACACTCTTTTTCCAGAATGTGCAAGTGGACATTTGGGGAGCTTTGAGGCCTGTGGTGGAAAAGGAATTATCTTCCCGTAAAAGCTAGATAGAAGCATTGTCAGAAACTTCTTTGTGATGATTGCATTCAACTCACAGAGTTGAAGGTTCCTTTTCAAAGAGCAGTTTCCAATCACTCTTTCTGAGGAATCTGCAAGTGGATATTTGGACCTATTTTGAAGATTTCGTTGGAAACGGGATAATCTTCACAGAAAAGCTAAACAGAAGCATTCTCAGAAACTTCTCTGTGATGTTTGTGTTCAACTCCCAGAGTTTCACATTGCTTTTCATAGAGTAGTTCTGAAACATGCTTTTCGTAGTGTCTGCAAGTGGACATTTGGAGCGCTCTCAGGCCTGTGGTGGAAAACGAATTATGGTCACATAAAAACTGGAGAGAAGCCTTCTCAGAAACTTCTCTGTGATGATTGCATTCAACTCACAGAGTTGAACCCTCCTATGGATAGAGCAGTGTTGAAACTCTCTTTTTGTGGAATCTGCAAGTGGATATGTGGACCTCTCCGAAGATGTCTTTGGAAACGGGAATATCTTCACATAAAAACTAAACAGAAGCATTCTCAGAAACTTCTTGGTGATGTTTGCATTCAAATCCCAGAGTTGAACCTTCCTTTGATAGTTCAGGTTTGAAACACTCTTTTTGTAGGATCTGCAAGTGGCTATTTGGACCACTCTGTGGCCTTCGTTCGAAACGGGTATATCTTCGCATAAAATCTAGACAGAAGCATTCTCAGAAAATACTTTGTGATGATTGAGTTTAAATCACAGAGCTGACCATTCCTTTGGATGGAGCAGGTTTGAGACACACTTTTTGTAGAATCTACAAGTGAATATTTGGACCTCTCTGAGGATTTCGTTGGAAACGGGATAACTGCACCTAACTAAACGGAAGCATTCTCAGAAACTGCTTTGTGATGATTGCATTCACCTCACAGAGTTGAACATTCCTATTGATAGAGCAGTTTGGAAACACTCTTGTTGTGGAATGTGCAAGTGGAGATTTGGAGCGCTTTGAGGCCTATGGTAGTAAAGGGAATAGCTTCATAGAAAAACTAGACAGATGCATTCTCAGGAACTTTTTGGTGATGTTTGTATTCAACTCCCAGAGTTGAACTTTCCTTTGGAAAGAGCAGCTATGAAACACTCTTTTTCTAGAATCTGCAAGTGGACGTTTGGAGGGCTTTGTGGTTTGTGGTGGAAAAGGAAATATCTTCACCTAAATACTAGATAGAAGCATTCTCAGAAGCTTCTCTGTGATGACTGCATTCAACTCACGGAGTTGAACACTCCTTTTGAGAGCGCAGTTTTGAAACTCTCTTTCTGTGGCATCTGCAAGGGGACATGTAGACCTCTTTGAAGATTTCGTTGGAAACGGAATCATCTTCACATAAAAACTATACAGAAGCAGTCTCAGAATCTTCTTTGCGATGTTTGCATTCAAATCCCAGAGTTGAACTTTCCTTTCAAAGTTCACGTTTGAAACACTCTTTTTGCAGGATCTACAAGTGGATATTTGGACCACTCTGTGTCCTTCGTTCGAAACGGGTATATCTTCACACGACATCTAGACAGAAGCTTTCTCAGAAAATTCTTTGGGATGATTGAGTTGAACTCACAGAGATAAACATTCCTTGCGATGTAGCAGTTTAGAAACACACTTTCTGCAGAATCTGCAAGTGCATATTTGGACCTCTCTGAGGAATTCGTTGGAAACGGGATAATTTCAGCTGACTAAACAGAAGCATTCTCAGAACCTTCTTCGTGATGTCTGCATTCAACTCACAGTGTGGAACCTTTCTTTGATAGTTCAGGTTTGAAACACTCTTTTTGTAGAAACTGCAAGGGGATAATTGCACTTCTTTGAGGCCTACCGTAGTAAAGGAAATAACTTCCTATAGAAAGAAGACAGAAGCATTCTCAGAACCCTCTTCGTGATGTTTGCATTCAACTCACGGTGCTGAACCTTTCTTTGATAGTTCAGCTTTGAAACACTCTTTTTGTAGAAACCGCAAGTGTATATTTGGTCCTCTCTGAGGATTTCGTTGGAAACGGGATAAACCGCACAGAACTAAACAGAAGCATTCTCAGAACCTTCTTCGTGATGTTTGCATTCAACTCACAGTGTTGAACCTTTCTTTGATAGTTCAGGTTTGAAACGGTCTTTCTGTAGAAACTGCAAGTAGATATTTGGACCTCTCTGAGGATTTCGTTGGAAACGGGATAAACCGCACAGAACTAAAACAGAAGCATTCACAGAAAACTCTTGGTGACGACTGAGTTTAACTCACAGAGCTGAACATTCCTTTGGATGGAGCAGTTTCGAAACACACTATTGGTAGAATCTGCAAGTGGATATTTGGGCCTCTCTGAGGATTTCGTTGGAAACGGGATAAACCGCACAGAACTAAAACAGAAGCATTCTCAGAAACTACTTTGTGATGATTGCATTCAAGTCACAGAGTTGAACATTCCCTTTGACAGAGCAGTTTGGAAACTCTCTTTGTGTAGAATCTGCAAGTGGAGATATGGACCGCTTTGAGGCCTATGGTAGTAAAGGAAATAGCTTCATATAAAAGCTAGACAGTAGCATTCTCAGAAACTTCTTTGTGATGCTTGCATTCAACTCACAGAGTTGAACTTTCCTTTCGAGAGAGAAGCTTTGAAACACTCTTTTTCCAGAATGTGCAAGTGGACATTTGGGGAGCTTTGAGGCCTGGGGTGGAAAAGGAATTATCTTCCCGTAAAAGCTAGATAGAAGCATTGTCAGAAACTTCTTTGTGATGATTGCATTCAACTCACAGAGTTGAAGGTTCCTTTTCAAACAGCAGTTTCCAATCACTCTTTCTGTGGAATCTGCAAGTGGATATTTGGGCCTCTCTGAGGATTTCGTTGGAAACGGGATAAAACGCACAGAACTAAAACAGAAGCATTCTCAGAAACTTCTCTGTGATGTTTGTGTTCAACTCCCAGAGTTTCACGTTGCTTTTCATAGAGTAGTTCTGAAACATGCTTTTCGTAGTGTCTGCAAGTGGACATTTGGAGCGCTTTCAGGCCTGTGGTGGAAAACGAATTATGGTCACATAAAAACTGGAGAGAAGCCTTCTCAGAAACTTCTCTGTGATGATTGCATTCAACTCACAGAGTTGAACCCTACTATGGATAGAGCAGTGTTGAAACTCTCTTTTTGTGGAATCTGCAAGTGGATATGTGGACCTCTCCGAAGATGTCTTTGGAAAGGGGACTATCTTCACATAAAAACTAAACAGAAGCATTCTCAGAAACTTCTTGGTGATGTTTGCATTCAAATCCCAGAGTTGAACCTTCCTTTGATAGTTCAGGTTTGAAACACTCTTTTTGTAGGATCTGCAAGTGGATATTTGGACCACTCTGTGGCCCTTCGTTCGAAACGGGTACATCTTCGCATAATATCTAGACAGAAGCATTCTCAGAAAATACTTTGTGATGATTGAGTTTAAATCACAGAGCTGACCATTCCTTTGGATGGAGCAGGTTTGAGACACACTTTTTGTAGAATCTACAAGTGGATATTTGGACCTCTCTGAGGATTTCGTTGGAAACGGGATAACTGCACCTAACTAAACGGAAGCATTCTCAGAAACTGCTTTGTGATGATTGCATTCACCTCACAGAGTTGAACATTCCTATTGATAGAGCAGTTTGGAAACACTCTTGTTGTGGAATGTGCAAGTGGAGATTTGGAGCGCTTTGAGGCCTATGGTAGTAAAGGGAATAGCTTCATAGAAAAACTAGACAGATGCATTCTCAGGAACTTTTTGGTGATGTTTGTATTCAACTCCCAGAGTTGAACTTTCCTTTGGAAAGAGCAGCTGTGAAACACTCTTTTTCTAGAATCTGCAAGAGGACGTTTGGAGGGCTTTGTGGTTTGTGGTGGAAAAGGAAATATCTTCACCTAAATACTAGATAGAAGCATTCTCAGAAGCTTCTCTGTGATGACTGCATTCAACTCAAGGAGTTGAACACTCCTTTTGAGAGCGCAGTTTTGAAACTCTCTTTCTGTGGCATCTGCAAGGGGACATGTAGACCTCTTTGAAGATTTCGTTGGAAACGGAATCATCTTCACATAAAAACTATACAGAAGCAGTCTCAGAATCTTCTTTGTGATGTTTGCATTCAAATCCCAGAGTTGAACTTTCCTTTCAAAGTTCACGTTTGAAACACTCTTTTTGCAGGATCTACAAGTGGATATTTGGACCACTCTGTGTCCTTCTTTCGAAACGGGTATATCTTCACATGACATCTAGACAGAAGCTTTCTCAGAAAATTCTTTGGGATGATTGAGTTGAACTCACAGATCTGAGCATTCCTTGCGATGTAGCAGTATAGAAACACACTTTCTGCAGAATCTGCAAGTGCATATTTGGACCTCTCTGAGGAATTCGTTGGAAACGGGATAATTTCAGCTAACTCGTTGGAAACGGGATAATTTCAGCTAACTAAACAGAAGCATTCTCAGTAACCTTCTTCGTGATGTCTGCATTCAACTCACAGTGTGGAACCTTTCTTTGATAGTTCAGGTTTGAAACACTCTTTTTGTAGAAACTGCAAGGGGATAATTGCACTTCTTTGAGGCCTACCGTAGTAAAGGAAATAACTTCCTATAAAAAGAAGACAGAAGAATTCTCAGAGCCCTCTTCGTGATGTTTGCATTCAACTCACAGTGCTGAACCTTTCTTTGATAGTGCAGCTTTGAAACACTCTTTTTGTAGAAACTGCAAGTGGATGTTTGGTCCTCTCTGAGGATTTCGTTGGAAACGGGATAAACCGCACAGAACTAAAACAGAAGCATTCTCAGAACCCTCTTCGTGATGTTTGCATTCAACACACAGTGCTGAACCTTTCTTTGATAGTTCAGCTTTGAAACACTCTTTTTGTAGAAACTGCAACTGGATATTTGGTCCTCTCTGAGGATTTCGTTGGAAACGGGATAAACCACACAGAACTAAACAGAAGCATTCACAGAAAACTCTTGGTGACGACTGAGTTTAACTCACAGAGCTGAACATTCCTTTGGATGGAGCAGTTTCGAAACACACTATTTGTAGAATCTGCAATTGGATATGCCATGGCCACTCTGAAGATTTCGTTGGAAACGGGATAAACCGCACAGAACTAAAACAGAAGCATTCTCAGAAACTACTTTGTGATGATTGCATTCAAGCCACAGAGCTGAACATTCCCTTTGACGGAGCAGTTTGGAAACTCTCTTTGTGTAGAATCTGCAAGTGGAGATATGGTATGCTTTGAGGACTATGGTAGTAAAGGAAATAGCTTCATATAAAAGCTAGACAGTAGCATTCTCAGAAACTTCTTTGTGATGCTTGCATTCAACTCACAGAGTTGAACTTTCCATTCGAGAGAGAAGCTTTGAAACACTCTTTTTCCAGAATCTGCAAGTGGACATTTGGAGGGCTTTGAGGCCTGTGGTGGAAAAGGAATTATCTTCCCGTAAAAGCTAGATAGAAGCATTGTCAGAAACTTCTTTGTGATGATTGCATTCAACTCACAGAGTTGAAGGTTCCTTTCCAAACAGCAGTTTCCAAACACTCTTTCTGTGGAATCTGCAAGTGGATATTTGGACCTCTTTGAAGATTTCGTTGGAAACGGGAGAATCTTCACAGAAAAGCTAAACAGAAGCATTCTCAGAAACTTCTCTGTGATGTTTGTGTTCAACTCCCAGAGTTTCACGTTGCTTTTCATAGAGTAGTTCTGAAACATGCTTTTCGTAGTGTCTGCAAGTGGACATTTGGAGCGCTTTCAGGCCTGTGGTGGAAAACGAATTATGGTCACATAAAAACTGGAGAGAAGCCTTCTCAGAAACTTCTCTGTGATGATTGCATTCAACTCACAGAGTTGAACCCTCCTATGGATAGAGCAGTGTTGAAACTCTCTTTTTGTGGAATCTGCAAGTGGATATGTGGACCTCTCCGAAGATGTCTTTGGAAACGGGAATATCTTCACATAAAAACTAAACAGAAGCATTCTCAGAAACTTCTTGGTGATGTTTGCATTCAAATCCCAGAGTTGAACCTTCCTTTGATAGTTCAGGTTTGAAACACTCTTTCTGTAGGATCTGCAAGTGGCTATTTGGACCACTCTGTGGCCTTCGTTCGAAACGGGTATATCTTCGCATAAAATCTAGACAGAAGCATTCTCAGAAAATACTTTGTGATGATTGAGTTTAAATCACAGAGCTGACCATTCCTTTGGATGGAGCAGGTTTGAGACACACTTTTTGTAGAATCTACAAGTGGATATTTGGACCTCTCTGAGGATTTCGTTGGAAACGGGATAACTGCACCTAACTAAACGGAAGCATTCTCAGAAACTGCTTTGTGATGATTGCATTCACCTCACAGAGTTGAACATTCCTATTGATAGAGCAGTTTGGAAACACTCTTGTTGTGGAATGTGCAAGTGGAGATTTGGAGCGCTTTGAGGCCTGTGGTAGTAAAGGGAATAGCTTCATAGAAAAACTAGACAGATGCATTCTCAGGAACTTTTTGGTGATGTTTGTATTCAACTCCCAGAGTTCAACTTTCCTTTGGAAAGAGCAGCTATGAAACACTCTTTTTCTAGAATCTGCAAGTGGACGTTTGGAGGGCTTTGCGGTTTGTGGTGGAAAAGGAAATATCTTCACCTAAATACTAGATAGAAGCATCCTCAGAAGCTTCTCTGTGATGACTGCATTCAACTCACGGAGTTGAACACTCCTTTTGAGAGCGCAGTTTTGAAACTCTCTTTCTGTGGCATCTGCAAGGGGACATGTAGACCTCTTTGAAGATTTCGTTGGAAACGGAATCATCTTCACATAAAAACTACACAGAAGCAGTCTCAGAATCTTCTTTGTGATGTTTGCATTCAAATCCCAGAGTTGAACTTTCCTTTCAAAGTTCACGTTTGAAACACTCTTTTTGCAGGATCTACAAGTGGATATTTGGACCACTCTGTGTCCTTCGTTCGAAACGGGTATATCTTCACACGACATCTAGACAGAAGCTTTCTCAGAAAATTCTTTGGGATGATTGAGTGGAACTCACAGAGCTGAACATTCCTTGCGATGTAGCAGTTTAGAAACACACTTTCTGCAGAATCTGCAAGTGCATATTTGGACCTCTGTGAGGAATTCGTTGGAAACGGGATAATTTCAGCTGACTAAACAGAAGCATTCTCAGAACCTTCTTCGTGATGTCTGCATTCAACTCACAGTGTGGAACCTTTCTTTGATAGTTCAGGTTTGAAACACTCTTTTTGTAGAAACTGCAAGGGGATCATTGCACTTCTTTGAGGCCTACCGTAGTAAAGGAGATAACTTCCTATAAAAAGAAGACAGAAGCATTCTCAGAACCCTCTTCGTGATGTTTGCATTCAACTCACAGTGCTGAACCTTTCTTTGATAGTTCAGCTTTGAAACACTCTTTTTGTAGAAACTGCAAGTGGATATTTGGTCCTCTCTGAGGATTTCGTTGGAAACGGGATAAACTGCACAGAACTAAACAGAAGCATTCTCAGAACCTTCTTCGTGATGTTTGCATTCAACTCACAGTGTTGAACCTTTCTTTGATAGTTCAGGTTTGAAACGGTCTTTCTGTAGAAACTGCAAGTAGATATTTGGACCTCTCTGAGGATTTCGTTGGAAACGGGATAACCCGCACAGAACTAAAACAGAAGCATTCACAGAAAACTCTTGGTGACGACTGAGTTTAACTCACAGAGCTGAACATTCCTTTGGATGGAGCAGTTTCGAAACACACTATTTGTAGAATGTGCAAGTGGATATTTGGGCCTCTCTGAGGATTTCGTTGGAAACGGGATAAACCGCACAGAACTAAACAGAAGCATTCTCAGAAACTACTTTGTGATGATTGCATTCAAGTCACAGAGTTGAACATTCCCTTTGACAGAGCAGTTTGGAAACTCTCTTTGTGTAGAATCTGCAAGTGGAGATATGGACCGCTTTGAGGCCTATGGTAGTAAAGGAAATAGCTTCATATAAAAGCTAGACAGTAGCATTCTCAGAAACTTCTTTGTGATGCTTGCATTCAACTCACAGAGTTGAACTTTCCTTTCGAGAGAGAAGCTTTGAAACACTCTTTTTCCAGAATCTGCAAGTGGACATTTGGAGGGCTTTGAGGCCTGTGGTGGAAAAGGAATTATCTTCCCGTAAAAGCTAGATGGAAGCATTGTCAGAAACTTCTTTGTGATGATTGCATTCAACTCACAGAGATGAAGGTTCCTTTACAAACAGCAGTTTCCAAACACTCTTTCTGTGGAATCTGCAAGTGGATATTTGGACCTCTTTGAAGATTTCGTTGGAAACGGGAGAATCTTCACAGAAAAGCTAAACAGAAGCATTCTGAGAAACTTCTCTGTGATGTTTGTGTTCAACTCCCAGAGTTTCACGTTGCTTTTCATAGAGTAGTTCTGAAACATGCTTTTCGTAGTGTCTGCAAGTGGACATTTGGAGCGCTTTCAGGCCTGTGGTGGAAAACGAATTATGGTCACATAAAAACTGGAGAGAAGCCTTCTCAGAAACTTCTCTGTGATGATTGCATTCAACTCACAGAGTTGAACCCTCCTATGGATAGAGCAGTGTTGAAACTCTCTTTTTGTGGAATCTGCAAGTGGATATGTGGACCTCTCCGAAGATGTCTTTGGAAACGGGAATATCTTCACATAAAAACTAAACAGAAGCATTCTCAGAAACTTCTTGGTGATGTTTGCATTCAAATCCCAGAGTTGAACCTTCCTTTGATAGTTCAGGTTTGAAACACTCTTTCTGTAGGATCTGCAAGTGGCTATTTGGACCACTCTGTGGCCTTCGTTCGAAACGGGTATATCTTCGCATAAAATCTAGACAGAAGCATTCTCAGAAAATACTTTGTGATGATTGAGTTTAAATCACAGAGCTGACCATTCCTTTGGATGGAGCAGGTTTGAGACACACTTTTTGTAGAATCTACAAGTGGATATTTGGACCTCTCTGAGGATTTCGTTGGAAACGGGATAACTGCACCTAACTAAACGGAAGCATTCTCAGGAAACTGCTTTGTGATGATTGCATTCACCTCACAGTAGTTGAACATTCCTATTGATAGAGCAGTTTGGAAACACTCTTGTTGTGGAATGTGCAAGTGGAGATTTGGAGCGCTTTGAGGCCTGTGGTAGTAAAGGGAATAGCTTCATAGAAAAACTAGACAGATGCATTCTCAGGAACTTTTTGGTGATGTTTGTATTCAACTCCCAGAGTTGAACTTTCCTTTGGAAAGAGCAGCTATGAAACACTCTTTTTCTAGAATCTGCAAGTGGACGTTTGGAGGGCTTTGTGGTTTGTGGTGGAAAGGAAATATCTTCACCTAAATACTAGATAGAAGCATTCTCAGAAGCTTCTCTGTGATGACTGCATTCAACTCACGGAGTTGAACACTCCTTTTGAGAGCGCAGTTTTGAAACTCTCTTTCTGTGGCATCTGCAAGGGGACATGTAGACCTCTTTGAAGATTTCGTTGGAAACGGAATCATCTTCACATAAAAACTATACAGAAGCAGTCTCAGAATCTTCTTTGTGATGTTTGCATTCAAATCCCAGAGTTGAACTTTCCTTTCAAAGTTCACGCTTGAAACACTCTTTTTGCAGGATCTACAAGTGGATATTTGGACCACTCTGTGTCCTTCGTTCGAAACGGGTATATCTTCACATGACATCTAGACAGAAGCTTTCTCAGAAAATTCTTTGGGATGATTGAGTGGAACTCACAGAGCTGAACATTCCTTGCGATGTAGCAGTTTAGAAACACACTTTCTGCAGAATCTGCAAGTGCATATTTGGACCTCTCTGAGGAATTCGTTGGAAACGGGATAATTTCAGCTGACTAAACAGAAGCATTCTCAGAACCTTCTTCGTGATGTCTGCATTCAACTCACAGTGTGGAACCTTTCTTTGATAGTTCAGGTTTGAAACACTCTTTTTGTAGAAACTGCAAGGGGATAATTGCACTTCTTTGAGGCCTACCGTAGTAAAGGAAATAACTTCCTATAGAAAGAAGACAGAAGAATTCTCAGAGCCCTCTTCGTGATGTTTGCATTCAACTCACAGTGCTGAACCTTTCTTTGATAGTGCAGCTTTGAAACACTCTTTTTGTAGAAACTGCAAGTGGATGTTTGGTCCTCTCTGAGGATTTCGTTGGAAACGGGATAAACCGCACAGAACTAAAACAGAAGCATTCTCAGAACCTTCTTCATGATGTTTGCATTCAACTCACAGTGTTGAACCTTTCTTTGATAGTTCAGGTTTGAAACGGTCTTTCTGTAGAAACTGCAAGTAGACATTTGGACCTCTCTGAGGATTTCGTTGGAAACGGGATAACTGCACCTAACTAAACGGAAGCATTCACAGAAAACTCTTGGTGACGACTGAGTTTAACTCACAGAGCTGAACATTCCTTTGGATGGAGCAGTTTCGAAACACACTATTTGTAGAATGTGCAAGTGGATATTTAGGCCTCTCTGAGGATTTCGTTGGAAACGGGATAAACCGCACAGAACTAAACAGAAGCATTCTCAGAAACTACTTTGTGATGATTGCATTCAAGTCACAGAGTTGAACATTCCCTTTGACAGAGCAGTTTGGAAACTCTCTTTGTGTAGAATCTGCAAGTGGAGATATGGACCGCTTTGAGGCCTATGGTAGTAAAGGAAATAGCTTCATATAAAAGCTAGACAGTAGCATTCTCAGAAACTTCTTTGTGATGCTTGCATTCAACTCACAGAGTTGAACTTTCCTTTCGAGAGAGAAGCTTTGAAACACTCTTTTTCCAGAATGTGCAAGTGGACATTTGGGGAGCTTTGAGGCCTGTGGTGGAAAAGGAATTATCTTCCCGTAAAAGCTAGATAGAAGCATTGTCAGAAACTTCTTTGTGATGATTGCATTCAACTCACAGAGTTGAAGGTTCCTTTTCAAACAGCAGTTTCCAATCACTCTTTCTGTGGAATCTGCAAGTGGATATTTGGGCCTCTCTGAGGATTTCGTTGGAAACGGGATAAAACGCACAGAACTAAAACAGAAGCATTCTCAGAAACTTCTCTGTGATGTTTGTGTTCAACTCCCGGAGTTTCACATTGCTTCTCATAGAGTAGTTCTGAAACATGCTTTTCGTAGTGTCTGCAAGTGGACATTTGGAGCGCTTTCAGGCCTGTGGTGGAAAACGAATTATGGTCACATAAAAACTGGAGAGAAGCCTTCTCAGAAACTTCTCTGTGATGATTGCATTCAACTCACAGAGTTGAACCCTCCTATGGATAGAGCAGTGTTGAAACTCTCTTTTTGTGGAATCTGCAAGCGGATATGTGGACCTCTCCGAAGATGTCTTTGGCAACGGGAATATCTTCACATAAAAACTAAACAGAAGCATTCTCAGAAACTTCTTGGTGATGTTTGCATTCAAATCCCAGAGTTGAACCTTCCTTTCATAGTTCAGGTTTGCAACACTCTTTTTGTAGGATCTGCAAGTGGATATTTGGACCACTCTGTGGCCTTCGTTCGAAACGGGTACATCTTCGCATAAAATCTAGACAGAAGCATTCTCAGAAAATACTTTGTGATGATTGAGTTTAAATCACAGAGCTGACCATTCCTTTGGATGGAGCAGGTTTGAGACACACTTTTTGTAGAATCTACAAGTGGATATTTGGACCTCTCTGAGGATTTCGTTGGAAACGGGATAACTGCACCTAACTAAACGGAAGCATTCTCAGAAACTGCTTTGTGATGATTGCATTCACCTCACAGAGTTGAACATTCCTATTGATAGAGCAGTTTGGAAACACTCTTGTTGTGGAATGTGCAAGTGGAGATTTGGAGCGCTTTGAGGCCTATGGTAGTAAAGGGAATAGCTTCATAGAAAAACTAGACAGATGCATTCTCAGGAACTTTTTGGTGATGTTTGTATTCAACTCCCAGAGTTGAACTTTCCTTTGGAAAGAGCAGCTATGAAACACTCTTTTTCTAGAATCTGCAAGTGGACGTTTGGAGGGCTTTGTGGTTTGTGGTGGAAAAGGAAATATCTTCACCTAAATACTAGATAGAAGCATCCTCAGAAGCTTCTCTGTGATGACTGCATTCAACTCACGGAGTTGAACACTCCTTTTGAGAGCGCAGTTTTGAAACTCTCTTTCTGTGGCATCTGCAAGGGGACATGTAGACCTCTTTGAAGATTTCGTTGGAAACGGAATCATCTTCACATAAAAACTATACAGAAGCAGTCTCAGAATCTTCTTTGTGATGTTTGCATTCAAATCCCCGAGTTGAACTTTCCTTTCAAAGTTCACGTTTGAAACACTCTTTTTGCAGGATCTACAAGTGGATATTTGGACCACTCTGTGTCCTTCGTTCGAAACGGGTATATCTTCACATGACATCTAGACAGAAGCTTTCTCAGAAAATTCTTTGGGATGATTGAGTTGAACTCACAGAGGTGAGCATTCCTTGCGATGTAGCAGTTTAGAAACACACTTTCTGCAGAATCTGCAAGTGCATATTTGGACCTCTGTGAGGAATTCGTTGGAAACGGGATAATTTCAGCTGACTAAACAGAAGCATTCTCAGAACCTTCTTCGTGATGTCTGCATTCAACTCACAGTGTGGAACCTTTCTTTGATAGTTCAGGTTTGAAACACTCTTTTTGTAGAAACTGCAAGGGGATAATTGCACTTCTTTGAGGCCTACCGTAGTAAAGGAAATAACTTCCTATAGAAAGAAGACAGAAGCATTCTCAGAACCCTCTTCGTGATGTTTGCATTCAACTCACAGTGCTGAACCTTTCTTTGATAGTTCAGCTTTGAAACACTCTTCTTGTAGAAACTGCAAGTGGATATTTGGTCCTCTCTGAGGATTTCGTTGGAAACGGGATAAACCGCACAGAACTAAACAGAAGCATTCTCAGAACCTTCTTCGTGATGTTTGCATTCAACTCACAGTGTTGAACCTTTCTTTGATAGTTCAGGTTTGAAACGGTCTTTCTGTAGAAACTGCAAGTAGATATTTGGACCTCTCTGAGGATTTCGTTGGAAACGGGATAACCCGCACAGAACTAAAACAGAAGCATTCACAGAAAACTCTTGGTGACGACTGAGTTTAACTCACAGAGCTGAACATTCCTTTGGATGGAGCAGTTTCGAAACACACTATTTGTAGAATGTGCAAGTGGATATTTGGGCCTCTCTGAGGATTTCGTTGGAAACGGGATAAACCGCACAGAACTAAACAGAAGCATTCTCAGAAACTACTTTGTGATGATTGCATTCAAGTCACAGACTTGAACATTCCCTTTGACAGAGCAGTTTGGAAACTCTCTTTGTGTAGAATCTGCAAGTGGAGATATGGACCGCTTTGAGGCCTATGGTAGTAAAGGAAATAGCTTCATATAAAAGCTAGACAGTAGCATTCTCAGAAACTTCTTTGTGATGCTTGCATTCAACTCACAGAGTTGAACTTTCCTTTCGAGAGAGAAGCTTTGAAAAACTCTTTTCCAGAATCTGCAAGTGGACATTTGGAGGGCATTGAGGCCTGTGGTGGAAAAGGAATTATCTTCCCGTAAAAGCTAGACAGAAGCATTGTCAGAAACTTCTTTGTGATGATTGCATTCAACTCACAGAGTTGAAGGTTCCTTTTCAAACAGCAGTTTCCAATCACTCTTTCTGTGGAATCTGCAAGTGGATATTTGGGCCTCTCTGAGGATTTCGTTGGAAACGGGATAAAACGCACAGAACTAAAACAGAAGCATTCTCAGAAACTTCTCTGTGATATTTGTGTTCAACTCCCAGAGTTTCACATTGCTTCTCATAGAGTAGTTCTGAAACATGCTTTTCATAGTGTCTGCAAGTGGACATTTGGAGCGCTTTCAGGCCTGTGGTGGAAAACGAATTATGGTCACATAAAAACTGGAGAGAAGCCTTCTCAGAAACTTCTCTGTGATGATTGCATTCAACTCACAGAGTTGAACCCTCCTATGGATAGAGCAGTGTTGAAACTCTCTTTTTGTGGAATCTGCAAGTGGATATGTGGACCTCTCCGAAGATGTCTTTGGAAACGGGAATATCTTCACATAAAAACTAAACAGAAGCATTCTCAGAAACTTCTTGGTGATGTTTGCATTCAAATCCCAGAGTTGAACCTTCCTTTGATAGTTCAGGTTTGAAACACTCTTTTTGTAGGATCTGCAAGTGGCTATTTGGACCACTCTGTGGCCTTCGTTCGAAACGGGTATATCTTCGCATAAAATCTAGACAGAAGCATTCTCAGAAAATACTTTGTGATGATTGAGTTTAACTCACAGAGCTGAACATTCCTTTGGATGGAGCAGGTTTGAGACACACTTTTTGTAGAATCTACAAGTGGATATTTGGACCTCTCTGAGGATTTCGTTGGAAACGCGATAACTGCACCTAACTAAACGGAAGCATTCTCAGAAACTGCTTTGTGATGATTGCATTCACCTCACAGAGTTGAACATTCCTATTGATAGAGCAGTTTGGAAACACTCTTGTTGTGGAATGTGCAAGTGGAGATTTGGAGCGCTTTGAGGCCTATGGTAGTAAAGGGAATAGCTTCATAGAAAAACTAGACAGATGCATTCTCAGGAACCTTTTGGTGATGTTTGTATTCAACTCCCAGAGTTGAACTTTCCTTTGGAAAGAGCAGCTATGAAACACTCTTTTTCTAGAATCTGCAAGTGGACGTTTGGAGGGCTTTGTGGTTTGTGGTGGAAAAGGAAATATCTTCACCTAAATACTAGATAGAAGCATTCTCAGAAGCTTCTCTGTGATGACTGCATTCAACTCACGGAGTTGAACACTCCTTTTGAGAGCGCAGTTTTGAAACTCTCTTTCTGTGGCATCTGCAAGGGGACATGTAGACCTCTTTGAAGATTTCGTTGGAAACGGAATCATCTTCACATAAAAACTATACAGAAGCAGTCTCAGAATCTTCTTTGTGATGTTTGCATTCAAATCCCAGAGTTGAACTTTCCTTTCAAAGTTCACGTTTGAAACACTCTTTTTGCAGGATCTACAAGTGGATATTTGGACCACTCTGTGTCCTTCGTTCGAAACGGGTATATCTTCACATGACATCTAGACAGAAGCTTTCTCAGAAAATTCTTTGGCATGATTGAGTTGAACTCACAGAGCTGAACATTCCTTGCGATGGAGCAGTTTAGAAACACACTTTCTGCAGAATCTGCAAGTGCATATTTGGACCTCTCTGAGGAATTCGTTGGAAACGCGATAATTTCAGCTGACTAAACAGAAGCATTCTCAGAACCTTCTTCGTGATGTCTGTATTCAACTCACAGTGTGGAACCTTTCTTTGATAGTTCAGGTTTGAAACACTCCTTTCGTAGAAACTGCAAGGGGATAATTGCACTTCTTTGAGGCCTACTGTAGTAAAGGAAATAACTTCCTATAAAAAGAAGACAGAAGAATTCTCAGAACCCTCTTCGTGATGTTTGCATTCCACACACAGTGCTGAAACTTTCTTTGATAGTTCAGCTTTGAAACACTCTTTTTGTAGAAACTGCAAGTGGATATTTGGTCCTCTCTGAGGATTTCGTTGGAAACGTGATAAACCGCACAGAACTAAACAGAAGCATTCACAGAAAACTCTTGGTGACGACTGAGTTTAACTCACAGAGCTGAACATTCCTTTGGATGGAGCAGTTTCGAAACACACTCTTTGTAGAATCTGCAAGTGGATATTTGGGCCTCTCTGAGGATTTCGTTGGAAATGGGATAAACCGCACAGAACTAAAACAGAAGCATTCTCAGAAACTACTTTGTGATGATTGCATTCAAGTCACAGAGTTGAACATTCCCTTTGACAGAGCAGTTTGGAAACTCTCTTTGTGTAGAATCTGCAAGTGGAGATATGGACCGCTTTGAGGACTATGGTAGTAAAGGAAATAGCTTCATATAAAAGCTAAACAGTAGCATTCTCAGAAACTTCTTTGTGATGCTTGCATTCAACTCACAGAGTTGAACTTTCCTTTCGAGAGAGAAGCTTTGAAACACTCTTTTTCCAGAATCTGCAAGTGGACATTTGGAGGGCTTTGAGGCCTGTGGTGGAAAAGGAATTATCTTCCCGTAAAAGCTAGATAGAAGCATTGTCAGAAACTTCTTTGTGATGATTGCATTCAACTCACAGAGTTGAAGGTTCCTTTTCAAACAGCAGTTTCCAATCACTCTTTCTGTGGAATCTGCAAGTGGATATTTGGGCCTCTCTGAGGATTTCGTTGGAAACGGGATAAAACGCACAGAACTAAAACAGAAGCATTCTCAGAAACTTCTCTGTGATGTTTGTGTTCAACTCCCAGAGTTTCACTTTGCTTTTCATAGAGTAGTTCTGAAACATGCTTTTCGTAGTGTCTGCAAGTGGACATTTGGAGCGCTTTCAGGCCTGTGGTGGAAAACGAATTATGGTCACATAAAAACTGGAGAGAAGCCTTCTCGGAAACTTCTCTGCGATGATTGCATTCAACTCACAGAGTTGAACCCTCCTATGGATAGAGCAGTGTTGAAACTCTCTTTTTGTGGAATCTGCAAGTGGATATGTGGACCTCTCCGAAGATGTCTTTGGAAACGGGAATATCTTCACATAGAAACTAAACAGAAGCATTCTCAGAAACTTCTTGGTGATGTTTGCATTCAAATCCCAGAGTTGAACCTTCCTTTGATAGTTCAGGTTTGAAACACTCTTTTTGTAGGATCTGCAAGTGGATATTTGGACCACTCTGTGGCCTTCGTTCGAAACGGGTACATCTTCGCATAAAATCTAGACAGAAGCATTCTCAGAAAATACTTTGTGATGATTGAGTTTAACTCACAGAGCTGAACATTCCTTTGGATGGAGCAGGTTTGAGACACACTTTTTGTAGAATCTACAAGTGGATATTTGGACCTCTCTGAGGATTTCGTTGGAAACGGGATAACTGCACCTAACTAAACGGAAGCATTCTCAGAAACTGCTTTGTGATGATTGCATTCACCTCACAGAGTTGAACATTCCTATTGATAGAGCAGTTTGGAAACACTCTTGTTGTGGAATGTGCAAGTGGAGATTTGGAGCGCTTTGAGGCCTATGGTAGTAAAGGGAATAGCTTCATAGAAAAACTAGACAGATGCATTCTCAGGAACCTTTTGGTGATGTTTGTATTCAACTCCCAGAGTTGAACTTTCCTTTGGAAAGAGCAGCTATGAAACACTCTTTTTCTAGAATCTGCAAGTGGACGTTTGGAGGGCTTTGTGGTTTGTGGTGGAAAAGGAAATATCTTCACCTAAATACTAGATAGAAGCATTCTCAGAAGCTTCTCTGTGATGACTGCATTCAACTCACGGAGTTGAACACTCCTTTTGAGAGCGCAGTTTTGAAACTCTCTTTCTGTGGCATCTGCAAGGGGACATGTAGACCTCTTTGAAGATTTCGTTGGAAACGGAATCATCTTCACATAAAAACTATACAGAAGCAGTCTCAGAATCTTCTTTGTGATGTTTGCATTCAAATCCCAGAGTTGAACTTTCCTTTCAAAGTTCACGTTTGAAACACTCTTTTTGCAGGATCTACAAGTGGATATTTGGACCACTCTGTGTCCTTCGTTCGAAACGGGTATATCTTCACACGACATCTAGACAGAAGCTTTCTCAGAAAATTCTTTGGGATGATTGAGTGGAACTCACAGAGCTGAACATTCCTTGCGATGTAGCAGTTTAGAAACACACTTTCTGCAGAATCTGCAAGTGCATATTTGGACCTCTCTGAGGAATTCGTTGGAAACGGGATAATTTCAGCTGACTAAACAGAAGCATTCTCAGAACCTTCTTCGTGATGTCTGCATTCAACTCACAGTGTGGAACCTTTCTTTGATAGTTCAGGTTTGAAACACTCTTTTTGTAGAAACTGCAAGGGGATAATTGCACTTCTTTGAGGCCTACCGTAGTAAAGGAAATAACTTCCTATAGAAAGAAGACAGAAGAATTCTCAGAACCCTCTTCGTGATGTTTGCATTCAACTCACAGTGCTGAACCTTTCTTTGATAGTGCAGCTTTGAAACACTCTTTTTGTAGAAACTGCAAGTGGATATTTGGTCCTCTCTGAAGATTTCGTTGGAAACGGGATAAACCGCACAGAACTAAAACAGAAGCATTCTCTGAACCTTCTTCGTGATGTTTGCATTCAACTCACAGTGTTGAACCTTTCTTTGATAGTTCAGGTTGGAAACGGTCTTTCTGTAGAAACTGCAAGTAGATATTTGGACCTCTCTGAGGATTTCGTTGGAAACGGGATAAACCGCACAGAACTAAAACAGAAGCATTCACAGAAAACTCTTGGTGACGACTGAGTTTAACTCACAGAGCTGAACATTCCTTTGGATGGAGCAGTTTCGAAACACACTATTTGTAGAATGTGCAAGTGGATATGTGGGCCTCTCTGAGGATTTCGTTGGAAACGGGATAAACCGCACAGAACTAAACAGAAGCATTCTCAGAAACTACTTTGTGATGATTGCATTCAAGTCACAGAGTTGAACATTCCCTTTGACAGAGCAGTTTGGAAACTCTCTTTGTGTAGAATCTGCAAGTGGAGATATGGACCGCTTTGAGGCCTATGGTAGTAAAGGAAATAGCTTCATATAAAAGCTAGACAGTAGCATTCTCAGAAACTTCTTTGTGATGCTTGCATTCAACTCACAGAGTTGAACTTTCCTTTCGAGAGAGAAGCTTTGAAACACTCTTTTTCCAGAATGTGCAAGTGGACATTTGGGGAGCTTTGAGGCCTGTGGTGGAAAAGGAATTATCTTCCCGTAAAAGCTAGATAGAAGCATTGTCAGAAACTTCTTTGTGATGATTGCATTCAACTCACAGAGTTGAAGGTTCCTTTTCAAACAGCAGTTTCCAATCACTCTTTCTGTGGAATCTGCAAGTGGATATTTGGGCCTCTCTGAGGATTTCGTTGGAAACGGGATAAAACGCACAGAACTAAAACAGAAGCATTCTCAGAAACTTCTCTGTGATGTTTGTGTTCAACTCCCAGAGTTTCACATTGCTTTTCATAGAGTAGTTCTGAAACATGCTTTTCGTAGTGTCTACAAGTGGACATTTGGAGCGCTTTCAGGCCTGTGGTGGAAAACGAATTATGGTCACATAAAAACTGGAGAGAAGCCTTCTCAGAAACTTCTCTGTGATGATTGCATTCAACTCACAGAGTTGAACCCTCCTATGGATAGAGCAGTGTTGAAACTCTCTTTTTGTGGAATCTGCAAGTGGATATGTGGACCTCTCCGAAGATGTCTTTGGAAACGGGAATATCTTCACATAAAAACTAAACAGAAGCATTCTCAGAAACTTCTTGGTGATGTTTGCATTCAAATCCCAGAGTTGAACCTTCCTTTGATAGTTCAGGTTTGAAACACTCTTTCTGTAGGATCTGCAAGTGGCTATTTGGACCACTCTGTGGCCTTCGTTCGAAACGGGTATATCTTCGCATAAAATCTAGACAGAAGCATTCTCAGAAAATACTTTGTGATGATTGAGTTTAAATCACAGAGCTGAACATTCCTTTGGATGGAGCAGGTTTGAGACACACTTTTTGTAGAATCTACAAGTGGATATTTGGACCTCTCTGAGGATTTCGTTGGAAACGGGATAACTGCACCTAACTAAACGGAAGCATTCTCAGAAACTGCTTTGTGATGATTGCATTCACCTCACAGAGTTGAACATTCCTATTGATAGAAGCAGTTTGGAAACACTCTTGTTGTGGAATGTGCAAGTGGAGATTTGGAGCGCTTTGAGGCCTATGGTAGTAAAGGGAATAGCTTCATAGAAAAACTAGATAGATGCATTCTCAGGAACTTTTTGGTGATGTTTGTATTCAACTCCCAGAGTTGAACTTTCCTTTGGAAAGAGCAGCTATGAAACACTCTTTTTCTAGAATCTGCAAGTGGACGTTTGGAGGGCTTTGTGGTTTGTGGTGGAAAAGGAAATATCTTCACCTAAATACTAGATAGAAGCATTCTCAGAAGCTTCTCTGTGATGACTGCATTCAACTCACGGAGTTGAACACTCCTTTTGAGAGCGCAGTTTTGAAACTCTCTTTCTGTGGCATCCGCAAGGGGACATGTAGACCTCTTTGAAGATTTCGTTGGAAACGGAATCATCTTCACATAAAAACTATACAGAAGCAGTCTCAGAATCTTCTTTGTGATGTTTGCATTCAAATCCCAGAGTTGAACTTTCCTTTCAAAGTTCACGTTTGAAACACTCTTTTTGCAGGATCTACAAGTGGATATTTGGACCACTCTGTGTCCTTCGTTCGAAACGGGTATATCTTCACATGACATCTAGACAGAAGCTTTCTCAGAAAATTCTTTGGGATGATTGAGTGGAACTCACAGAGCTGAACATTCCTTGCGATGTAGCAGTTTAGAAACACACTTTCTGCAGAATCTGCAAGTGCATATTTGGACCTCTCTGAGGAATTCGTTGGAAACGGGATAATTTCAGCTGACTAAACAGAAGCATTCTCAGAACCTTCTTCGTGATGTCTGCATTCAACTCACAGTGTGGAACCTTTCTTTGATAGTTCAGATTTGAAACACTCTTTTTGTAGAAACTGCAAGGGGATAATTGCACTTCTTTTAGGCCTACCGTAGTAAAGGAAATAACTTCCTATAAAAAGAAGACAGAAGAATTCTCAGAGCCCTCTTCGTGATGTTTGCATTCAACTCACAGTGCTGAACCTTTCTTTGATAGTGCAGCTTTGAAACACTCTTTTTGTAGAAACTGCAAGTGGATGTTTGGTCCTCTCTGAGGATTTCGTTGGAAACGGGATAAACCGCACAGAACTAAAACAGAAGCATTCTCAGAACCTTCTTCGTGATGTTTGCATTCAACTCACAGTGTTGAACCTTTCTTTGATAGTTCAGGTTTGAAACGGTCTTTCTGTAGAAACTGCAAGTAGATATTTGGACCTCTCTGAGGATTTCGTTGGAAACGGGATAACCCGCACAGAACTAAAACAGAAGCATTCACAGAAAACTCTTGGTGACGACTGAGTTTAACTCACAGAGCTGAACATTCCTTTGGATGGAGCAGTTTCGAAACACACTATTTGTAGAATGTGCAAGTGGATATTTGGGCCTCTCTGAGGATTTCGTTGGAAACGGGATAAACCGCACAGAACTAAAACAGAAGCATTCTCAGAAACTACTTTGTGATGATTGCATTCAAGTCACAGAGTTGAACATTCCCTTTGACAGAGCAGTTTGGAAACTCTCTTTGTGTAGAATCTGCAAGTGGAGATATGGACCGCTTTGAGGCCTATGGTAGTAAAGGAAATAGCTTCATATAAAAGCTAGACAGTAGCATTCTCAGAAACTTCTTTGTGATGCTTGCATTCAACTCACAGAGTTGAACTTTCCTTTCGAGAGAGAAGCTTTGAAACACTCTTTTTCCAGAATCTGCAAGTGGACATTTGGAGGGCTTTGAGGCCTGTGGTGGAAAAGGAATTATCTTCCCGTAAAAGCTAGATAGAAGCATTGTCAGAAACTTCTTTGTGATGATTGCATTCAACTCACAGAGTTGAAGGTTCCTTTTCAAACAGCAGTTTCCAATCACTCTTTCTGTGGAATCTGCAAGTGGATATTTGGGCCTCTCTGAGGATTTCGTTGGAAACGGGATAAAACGCACAGAACTAAAACAGAAGCATTCTCAGAAACTTCTCTGTGATGTTTGTGTTCAACTCCCAGAGTTTCACATTGCTTCTCATAGAGTAGTTCTGAAACATGCTTTTCGTAGTGTCTGCAAGTGGACATTTGGAGCGCTTTCAGGCCTGTGGTGGAAAACGAATTATGGTCACATAAAAACTGGAGAGAAGCCTTCTCAGAAACTTCTCTGTGATGATTGCATTCAACTCACAGAGTTGAAACCTCCTATGGATAGAGCAGTGTTGAAACTCTCTTTTTGTGGAATCTGCAAGTGGATATGTGGACCTCTCCGAAGATGTCTTTGGAAACGGGAATATCTTCACATAAAAACTAAACAGAAGCATTCTCAGAAACTTCTTGGTGATGTTTGCATTCAAATCCCAGAGTTGAACCTTCCTTTGATAGTTCAGGTTTGAAACACTCTTTTTGTAGGATCTGCAAGTGGATATTTGGACCACTCTGTGGCCTTCGTTCGAAACGGGTATATCTTCGCATAAAATCTAGACAGAAGCATTCTCAGAAAATACTTTGTGATGATTGAGTTTAAATCACAGAGCTGACCATTCCTTTGGATGGAGCAGGTTTGAGACACACTTTTTGTAGAATCTACAAGTGGATATTTGGACCTCTCTGAGGATTTCGTTGGAAACGGGATAACTGCACCTAACTAAACGGAAGCATTCTCAGAAACTGCTTTGTGATGATTGCATTCACCTCACAGAGTTGAACATTCCTATTGATAGAGCAGTTTGGAAACACTCTTGTTGTGGAATGTGCAAGTGGAGATTTGGAGTGCTTTGAGGCCTATGGTAGTAAAGGGAATAGCTTCATAGAAAAACTAGACAGATGCATTCTCAGGAACTTTTTGGTGATGTTTGTATTCAACTCCCAGAGTTGAACTTTCCTTTGGAAAGAGCAGCTATGAAACACTCTTTTTCTAGAATCTGCAAGTGGACGTTTGGAGGGCTTTGTGGTTTGTGGTGGAAAAGGAAATATCTTCACCTAAATACTAGATAGAAGCATTCTCAGAAGCTTCTCTGTGATGACTGCATTCAACTCACGGAGTTGAACACTCCTTTTGAGAGCGCAGTTTTGAAACTCTCTTTCTGTGGCATCTGCAAGGGGACATGTAGACCTCTTTGAAGATTTCGTTGGAAACGGAATCATCTTCACATAAAAACTATACAGAAGCAGTCTCAGAATCTTCTTTGTGATGTTTGCATTCAAATCCCAGAGTTGAACTTTCCTTTCAAAGTTCACGTTTGAAACACTCTTTTTGCAGGATCTACAAGTGGATATTTGGACCACTCTGTGTCCTTCGTTCGAAACGGGTATATCTTCACACGACATCTAGACAGAAGCTTTCTCAGAAAATTCTTTGGGATGATTGAGTTGAACTCACAGAGCTGAGCATTCCTTGCGATGTAGCAGTTTAGAAACACACTTTCTGCAGAATCTGCAAGTGCATATTTGGACCTCTGTGAGGAATTCGTTGGAAACGGGATAATTTCAGCTGACTAAACAGAAGCATTCTCAGAACCTTCTTCGTGATGTCTGCATTCAACTCACAGTGTGGAACCTTTCTTTGATAGTTCAGGTTTGAAACACTCTTTTTGTAGAAACTGCAAGGGGATAATTGCACTTCTTTGAGGCCTACCGTAGTAAAGGAAATAACTTCCTATAGAAAGAAGACAGAAGAATTCTCAGAGCCCTCTTCGTGATGTTTGCATTCAACTCACAGTGCTGAACCTTTCTTTGATAGTGCAGCTTTGAAACACTCTTTTTGTAGAAACTGCAAGTGGATGTTTGGTCCTCTCTGAGGATTTCGTTGGAAACGGGATAAACCGCACAGAACTAAAACAGAAGCATTCTCAGAACCTTCTTCGTGATGTTTGCATTCAACTCACAGTGTTGAACCTTTCTTTGATAGTTCAGGTTTGAAACGGTCTTTCTGTAGAAACTGCAAGTAGATATTTGGACCTCTCTGAGGATTTCGTTGGAAACGGGATAACCCGCACAGAACTAAAACAGAAGCATTCACAGAAAACACTTGGTGACGACTGAGTTTAACTCACAGAGCTGAACATTCCTTTGGATGGAGCAGTTTCGAAACACACTATTTGTAGAATGTGCAAGTGGATATGTGGGCCTCTCTGAGGATTTCGTTGGAAACGGGATAAACCGCACAGAACTAAACAGAAGCATTCTCAGAAACTACTTTGTGATGATTGCATTCAAGTCACAGAGTTGAACATTCCCTTTGACAGAGCAGTTTGGAAACTCTCTTTGTGTAGAATCTGCAAGTGGAGATATGGACCGCTTTGAGGCCTATGGTAGTAAAGGAAATAGCTTCATATAAAAGCTAGACAGTAGCATTCTCAGAAACTTCTTTGTGATGCTTGCATTCAACTCACAGAGTTGAACTTTCCTTTCGAGAGAGAAGCTTTGAAACACTCTTTTTCCAGAATCTGCAAGTGGACATTTGGAGGGCTTTGAGGCCTGTGGTGGAAAAGGAATTATCTTCCCGTAAAAGCTAGATAGAAGCATTGTCAGAAACTTCTTTGTGATGATTGCATTCAACTCACAGAGTTGAAGGTTCCTTTTCAAACAGCAGTTTCCAATCACTCTTTCTGTGGAATCTGCAAGTGGATATTTGGGCCTCTCTGAGGATTTCGTTGGAAACGGGATAAAACGCACAGAACTAAAACAGAAGCATTCTCAGAAACTTCTCTGTGATGTTTGTGTTCAACTCCCAGAGTTTCACATTGCTATTCATAGAGTAGTTCTGAAACATGCTTTTCGTAGTGTCTGCAAGTGGACATTTGGAGCGCTTTCAGGCCTGTGGTGGAAAACGAATTATGGTCACATAAAAACTGGAGAGAAGCCTTCTCAGAAACTTCTCTGTGATGATTGCATTCAACTCACAGAGTTGAACCCTCCTATGGATAGAGCAGTGTTGAAACTCTCTTTTTGTGGAATCTGCAAGTGGATATGTGGACCTCTCCGAAGATGTCTTTGGAAACGGGAATATCTTCACATAAAAACTAAACAGAAGCATTCTCAGAAACTTCTTGGTGATGTTGGCATTCAAACCCCAGAGTTGAACCTTCCTTTGATAGTTCAGGTTTGAAACACTCTTTTTGTAGGATCTGCAAGTGGATATTTGGACCACTCTGTGGCCTTCGTTCGAAACGGGTACATCTTCGCATAAAATCTAGACAGAAGCATTCTCAGAAAATACTTTGTGATGATTGCGTTGAACTCACAGAGCTGAACATTCCTTTGGATGGAGCAGGTTTGAGACACACTTTTTGTAGAATCTACAAGTGGATATTTGGACCTCTCTGAGGATTTCGTTGGAAACCGGATAACTGCACCTAACTAAACGGAAGCATTCTCAGAAACTGCTTTGTGATGATTGCATTCACCTCACAGAGTTGACCATTCCTATTGATAGAGCAGTTTGGAAACACTATTGTTGTGGAATGTGCAAGTGGAGATTTGGAGCGCTTTGAGGCCTATGGTAGTAAAGGGAATAGCTTCATAGAAAAACTAGACAGATGCATTCTCAGGAACTTTTTGGTGATGTTTGTATTCAACTCCCAGAGTTGAACTTTCCTTTGGAAAGAGCAGCTATGAAACACTCTTTTTCTAGAATCTGCAAGTGGACGTTTGGAGGGCTTTGTGGTTTGTGGTGGAAAAGGAAATATCTTCACCTAAATACTAGATAGAAGCATCCTCAGAAGCTTCTCTGTGATGACTGCATTCAACTCACGGAGTTGAACACTCCTTTTGAGAGCGCAGTTTTGAAACTCTCTTTCTGTGGCATCTGCAAGGGGACATGTAGACCTCTTTGAAGATTTCGTTGGAAACGGAATCATCTTCACATAAAAACTATACAGAAGCAGTCTCAGAATCTTCTTTGTGATGTTTGCATTCAAATCCCAGAGTTGAACTTTCCTTTCAAAGTTCACGTTTGAAACACTCTTTTTGCAGGATCTACAAGTGGATATTTGGACCACTCTGTGTCCTTCGTTCGAAACGGGTATATCTTCACACGACATCTAGACAGAAGCTTTCTCAGAAAATTCTTTGGGATGATTGAGTTGAGCAAACAGAGCTGAACACTCCTTGCGATGTAGCAGTTTAGAAACACACTTTCTGCAGAATCTGCAAGTGCATATGTGGACCTCTCTGAGGAATTCGTTGGAAACGGGATAATTTCAGCTGACTAAACAGAAGCATTCTCAGAACCTTCTTCGTGATGTCTGCATTCAACTCACAGTGTGGAACCTTTCTTTGATAGTTCAGGTTTGAATCACTCTTTTTGTAGAAACTGCAAGGGGATAATTGCACTTCTTTGAAGCCTACCGTAGTAAAGGAAATAACTTCCTATAAAAAGAAGACAGAAGAATTCTCAGAGCCCTCTTCGTGATGTTTGCATTCAACTCACAGTGCTGAACCTTTCTTTGATAGTGCAGCTTTGAAACACTCTTTTTGTAGAAACTGCAAGTGGATGTTTGGTCCTCTCTGAGGATTTCGTTGGAAACGGGATAAACCGCACAGAACTAAAACAGAAGCATTCTCAGAACCTTCTTCGTGATGTTTGCATTCAACTCACAGTGTTGAACCTTTCTTTGATAGTTCAGGTTTGAAACGGTCTTTCTGTAGAAACTGCAAGTAGATATTTGGACCTCTCTGAGGATTTCGTTGGAAACGGGATAACCCGCACAGAACTAAAACAGAAGCATTCACAGAAAACTCTTGGTGACGACTGAGTTTAACTCACAGAGCTGAACATTCCTTTGGATGGAGCAGTTTCGAAACACACTCTTTGTAGAATGTGCAAGTGGATATTTGGGCCTCTCTGAGGATTTCGTTGGAAACGGGATAAACCGCACAGAACTAAAACAGAAGCATTCTCAGAAACTACTTTGTGATGATTGCATTCAAGTCACAGAGTTGAACATTCCCTTTGACAGAGCAGTTTGGAAACTCTCTTTGTGTAGAATCTGCAAGTGGAGATATGGACCGCTTTGAGGCCTATGGTAGTAAAGGAAATAGCTTCATATAAAAGCTAGACAGTAGCATTCTCAGAAACTTCTTTGTGATGCTTGCATTCAACTCACAGAGTTGAACTTTCCTTTCGAGAGAGAAGCTTTGAAACACTCTTTTTCCGGAATCTGCAAGTGGACATTTGGAGGGCTTTGAGGCCTGTGGTGGAAAAGGAATTATCTTCCCGTAAAAGCTAGATAGAAGCATTGTCAGAAACTTCTTTGTGATGATTGCATTCAACTCACAGTAGTTGAAGGTTCCTTTTCAAACAGCAGTTTCCAATCACTCTTTCTGTGGAATCTGCAAGTGGATATTTGGGCCTCTCTGAGGATTTCGTTGGAAACGGGATAAAACGCACAGAACTAAAACAGAAGCATTCTCAGAAACTTCTCTGTGATGTTTGTGTTCAACTCCCAGAGTTTCACATTGCTTTTCATAGAGTAGTTCTGAAACATGCTTTTCGTAGTGTCTACAAGTGGACATTTGGAGCGCTTTCAGGCCTGTGGTGGAAAACGAATTATGGTCACATAAAAACTGGAGAGAAGCCTTCTCAGAAACTTCTCTGTGATGATTGCATTCAACTCACAGATTTGAACCCTCCTATGGATAGAGCATTCTTGAAACTCTCTTTTTGTGGAATCTGCAAGTGGATATGTGGACCTCTCCGAAGATGTCTTTGGAAACGGGAATATCTTCACATAAAAACTAAACAGAAGCATTCTCAGAAACTTCTTGGTGATGTTTGCATTCAAATCCCAGAGTTGAACCTTCCTGTGATAGTTCAGGTTTGAAACACTCTTTTTGTAGGATCTGCAAGTGGATATTTGGACCACTCTGTGGCCTTCGTTCGAAACGGGTACATCTTCACATAAAATCTAGACAGAAGCATTCTCAGAAAATACTTTGTGATGATTGAGTTTAAATCACAGAGCTGACCATTCCTTTGGATGGAGCAGGTTTGAGACACACTTTTTGTAGAATCTACAAGTGGATATTTGGACCTCTCTGAGGATTTCGTTGGAAACGGGATAACTGCACCTAACTAAACGGAAGCATTCTCAGAAACTGCTTTGTGATGATTGCATTCACCTCACAGAGTTGAACATTCCTATTGATAGAGCAGTTTGGAAACACTCTTGTTGTGGAATGTGCAAGTGGAGATTTGGAGCGCTTTGAGGCCTATGGTAGTAAAGGGAATAGCTTCATAGAAAAACTAGACAGATGCATTCTCAGGAACTTTTTGGTGATGTTTGTATTCAACTCCCAGAGTTGAACTTTCCTTTGGAAAGAGCAGCTATGAAACACTCTTTTTCTAGAATCTGCAAGTGGACGTTTGGAGGGCTTTGTGGTTTGTGGTGGAAAAGGAAATATCTTCACCTAAATACTAGATAGAAGCATTCTCAGAAGCTTCTCTGTGATGACTGCATTCAACTCACGGAGTTGAACACTCCTTTTGAGAGCGCAGTTTTGAAACTCACTTTCTGTGGCATCTGCAAGGGGACATGTAGACCTCTTTGAAGATTTCGTTGGAAACGGAATCATCTTCACATAAAAACTATACAGAAACAGTCTCAGAATCTTCTTTGTGATGTTTGTATTCAAATCCCAGAGTTGAACTTTCCTTTCAAAGTTCACGTTTGAAGCACTCTTTTTGCAGGATCTACAAGTGGATATTTGGACCACTCTGTGTCCTTCGTTCGAAACGGGTATATCTTCACATGACATCTAGACAGAAGCTTTCTCAGAAAATTCTTTGGGATGATTGAGTTGAACTCACAGAGCTGAACATTCCTTGCGATGTAGCAGTTTAGAAACACACTTTCTGCAGAATCTGCAAGTGCATATTTGGACCTCTCTGAGGAATTCGTTGGAAACGGGATAATTTCAGCTGACTAAACCGAAGCATTCTCAGAACCTTCTTCGTGATGTCTGCATTCAACTCACAGTGTGGAACCTTTCTTTGATAGTTCAGGTTTGAAACACTCTTTTTGTAGAAACTGCAAGGGGATAATTGCACTTCTTTGAGGCCTACCGTAGTAAAGGAAATAACTTCCTATAGAAAGAAGACAGAAGCATTCTCAGAACCCTCTCCGTGATGTTTGCATTCAACTCACGGTGCTGAACCTTTCTTGGATAGTTCAGCTTTGAAACACTCTTTTTGTAGAAACTGCAAGTGGATATTTGGTCCTCTCTGAGGATTTCTTTAGAAACGGGATAAACCGCACAGAACTAAACAGAAGCATTCTCAGAACCTTCTTCGTGATGTTTGCATTCAACTCACAGTGTTGAACCTTTCTTTGATAGTTCAGGTTTGAAACGGTCTTTCTGTAGAAACTGCAAGTAGATATTTGGACCTCTCTGAGGATTTCGTTGGAAACGGGATAACCCGCACAGAACTAAAACAGAAGCATTCACAGAAAACTCTTGGTGACGTCTGAGTTTAACTCACAGAGCTGAACATTCCTTTGGATGGAGCAGTTTCGAAACACACTATTTGTAGAATCTGCAAGTGGATATTTGGGCCTCTCTGAGGATTTCGATGGAAACGGGATAAACCGCACAGAACTAAAACAGAAGCATTCTGAGAAACTACTTTGTGATGATTGCATTCAAGTCACAGAGCTGAACATTCCCTTTGACAGAGCAGTTTGGAAACTCTCTTTGTGTAAAATCTGCAAGTGGAGATATGGAATGCTTTGAGGACTATGGTAGTAAAGGAAATAGCTTCATATAAAAGCTAGACAGTAGCATTCTCAGAAACTTCTTTGTGATGCTTGCATTCAACTCACAGAGTTGAACTTTCCTTTCGAGAGAGAAGCTTTGAAACACTCTTTTTCCAGAATCTGCAAGTGGACATTTGGAGGGCTTTGAGGCCTGTGGTGGAAAAGGAATTATCTTCCCGTAAAAGCTAGATAGAAGCATTGTCAGAAACTTCTTTGTGATGATTGCATTCAACTCACAGGAGTTGAAGGTTCCTTTTCAAACAGCAGTTTCCAATCACTCTTTCTGTGGAATCTGCAAGTGGATATTTCGACCTCTTTGAAGATTTCGTTGGAAACGGGAGAATCTTCACAGAAAAGCTAAACAGAAGCATTCTCAGAAACTTCTCTGTGATGTTTGTGTTCAACTCCCAGAGTTTCACGTTGCTTTTCATAGAGTAGTTCTGAAACATGCTTTTCGTAGTGTCTGCAAGTGGACATTTGGAGCGCTTTCAGGCCTGTGGTGGAAAACGAATTATGGTCACATAAAAACTGGAGAGAAGCCTTCTCAGAAACTTCTCTGTGATGATTGCATTCAACTCACAGAGTTGAACCCTCCTATGGATAGAGCAGTGTTGAAACTCTCTTTTTGTGGAATCTGCAAGTGGATATGTGGACCTCTCCGAAGATGTCTTTGGAAACGGGAATATCTTCACATAAAAACTAAACAGAAGCATTCTCAGAAACTTCTTGGTGATGTTTGCATTCAAATCCCACTGTTGAACCTTCCTGTGATAGTTCAGGTTTGAAACACTCTTTTTGTAGGATCTGCAAGTGGATATTTGGACCACTCTGTGGCCTTCGTTCGAAACGGGTACATCTTCACATAAAATCTAGACAGATGCATTCTCAGGAACTTTTTGGTGATGTTTGTATTCAACTCCCAGAGTTGAACTTTCCTTTGGAAAGAGCAGCTATGAAACACTCTTTTTCTAGAATCTGCAAGTGGACGTTTGGAGGGCTTTGTGGTTTGTGGTGGAAAAGGAAATATCTTCACCTAAATACTGGATAGAAGCATTCTCAGAAGCTTCTCTGTGATGACTGCATTCAACTCACGGAGTTGAACACTCCTTTTGAGAGCGCAGTTTTGAAACTCTCTTTCTGTGGCATCTGCAAGGGGACATGTAGACCTCTTTGAAGATTTCGTTGGAAACGGAATCATCTTCACATAAAAACTATACAGAAGCAGTCTCAGAATCTTCTTTGTGATGTTTGCATTCAAATCCCAGAGTTGAACTTTCCTTTCAAAGTTCACGTTTGAAACACTCTTTTTGCAGGATCTACAAGTGGATATTTGGACCACTCTGTGTCCTTCGTTCGAAACGGGTATATCTTCACAGGACATCTAGACAGAAGCTTTCTCAGAAAATTCTTTGGGATGATTGAGTTGAACTCACAGAGCTGAGCATTCCTTGCGATGTAGCAGTTTAGAAACACACTTTCTGCAGAATCTGCAAGTGCATATTTGGACCTCTGTGAGGAATTCGTTGGAAACGGGATAATTTCAGCTGACTAAACAGAAGCATTCTCAGAACCTTCTTCGTGATGTCTGCATTCAACTCACAGTGTGGAACCTTTCTTTGATAGTTCAGGTTTGAAACACTCTTTTTGTAGAAACTGCAAGGGGATAATTGCACTCTTTGAGGAGTACCGTAGTAAAGGAAATAACTTCCTATAAAAAGAAGACAGAAGAATTCTCAGAGCCCTCTTCGTGATGTTTGCATTCAACTCACAGTGCTGAACCTTTCTTTGATAGTGCAGCTTTGAAACACTCTTTTTGTAGAAACTGCAAGTGGATGTTTGGTCCTCTCTGAGGATTTCGTTGGAAACGGGATAAACCGCACAGAACTAAAACAGAAGCATTCTCAGAACCTTCTTCGTGATGTTTGCATTCAACTCACAGTGTTGAACCTTTCTTTGATAGTTCAGGTTGGAAACGGTCTTTCTGTAGAAACTGCAAGTAGATATTTGGACCTCTCTGAGGATTTCGTTGGAAACGGGATAAACCGCACAGAACTAAAACAGAAGCATTCACAGAAAACTCTTGGTGACGACTGAGTTTAACTCACAGAGCTGAACATTCCTTTGGATGGAGCAGTTTCGAAACACACTATTTGTAGAATGTGCAAGTGGATATTTGGGCCTCTCTGAGGATTTCGTTGGAAACGGGATAAACCGCACAGAACTAAACAGAAGCATTCTCAGAAACTACTTTGTGATGATTGCATTCAAGTCACAGAGTTGAACATTCCCTTTGACAGAGCAGTTTGGAAACTCTCTTTGTGTAGAATCTGCAAGTGGAGATATGGACCGCTTTGAGGCCTATGGTAGTAAAGGAAATAGCTTCATATAAAAGCTAGACAGTAGCATTCTCAGAAACTTCTTTGTGATGCTTGCATTCAACTCACAGAGTTGAACTTTCCTTTCGAGAGAGAAGCTTTGAAACACTCTTTTTCCAGAATGTGCAAGTGGACATTTGGGGAGCTTTGAGGCCTGTGGTGGAAAAGGAATTATCTTCCCGTAAAAGCTAGATAGAAGCATTGTCAGAAACTTCTTTGTGATGATTGCATTCAACTCACAGAGTTGAAGGTTCCTTTTCAAACAGCAGTTTCCAATCACTCTTTCTGTGGAATCTGCAAGTGGATATTTGGGCCTCTCTGAGGATTTCGTTGGAAACGGGATAAAACGCACAGAACTAAAACAGAAGCATTCTCAGAAACTTCTCTCTGATATTTGTGTTCAACTCCCAGAGTTTCACATTGCTTTTCATAGAGTAGTTCTGAAACATGCTTTTCGTAGTGTCTGCAAGTGGACATTTGGAGCACTTTCAGGCCTGTGGTGGAAAACGAATTATGGTCACATAAAAACTGGAGAGAAGCCTTCTCAGAAACTTCTCTGTGATGATTGCATTCAACTCACAGAGTTGAACCCTCCTATGGATAGAGCAGTGTTGAAACTCTCTTTTTGTGGAATCTGCAAGTGGATATGTGGACCTCTCCGAAGATGTCTTTGGAAACGGGACTATCTTCACATAAAAACTAAACAGAAGCACTCTCAGAAACTTCTTGGTGATGTTTGCATTCAAATCCCAGAGTTGAACCTTCCTTTGATAGTTCAGGTTTGAAACACTCTTTTTGTAGGATCTGCAAGTGGATATTTGGACCACTCTGTGGCCTTCATTCGAAACGGGTACATCTTCGCATAAAATCTAGACAGAAGCATTCTCAGAAAATACTTTGTGATGATTGACTTTAACTCACAGAGCTGAACATTCCTTTGGATGGAGCAGGCTTGAGACACACTTTTTGTAGAATCTACAAGTGGATATTTGGACCTCTCTGAGGATATCGTTGGAAACGGGATAACTGCACCTTACTAAGTGGAAGCATTCTCAGAAACTGCTTTGTGATGATTGCATTCACCTCACAGAGTTGAACATTCCTATTGATAGAGCAGTTTGGAAACACTCTTGTTGTGGAATGTGCAAGTGGAGATTTGGAGCGCTTTGAGGCCTATGGTAGTAAAGGGAATAGCTTCATAGAAAAACTAGACAGATGCATTCTCAGGAACTTTTTGGTGATGTTTGTATTCAACTCCCAGAGTTGAACTTTCCTTTGGAAAGAGCAGCTATGAAACACTCTTTTTCTAGAATCTGCAAGTGGACGTTTGGAGGGCTTTGTGGTTTGTGGTGGAAAAGGAAATATCTTCACCTAAATACTAGATAGAAGCATTCTCAGAAGCTTCTCTGTGATGACTGCATTCAACTCACGGAGTTGAACACTCCTTTTGAGAGCGCAGTTTTGAAACTCTCTTTCTGTGGCATCTGCAAGGGGACATGTAGACCTCTTTGAAGATTTCGTTGGAAACGGAATCATCTTCACATAAAAACTATACAGAAGCAGTCTCAGAATCTTCTTTGTGATGTTTGCATTCAAATCCCAGAGTTGAACTTTCCTTTCAAAGTTCACGTTTGAAACACTCTTTTTGCAGGATCTACAAGTGGATATTTGGACCACTCTGTGTCCTTCGTTCGAAACGGGTATATCTTCACACGACATCTAGACAGAAGCTTTCTCAGAAAATTCTTTGGGATGATTGAGTGGAACTCACAGAGCTGAACATTCCTTGCGATGTAGCAGTTTAGAAACACACTTTCTGCAGAATCTGCAAGTGCATATTTGGACCTCTCTGAGGAATTCGTTGGAAACGGGATAATTTCAGCTGACTAAACAGAAGCATTCTCAGAACCTTCTTCGTGATGTCTGCATTCAACTCACAGTGTGGAACCTTTCTTTGATAGTTCAGGTTTGAAACACTCTTTTTGTAGAAACTGCAAGGGGATAATTGCACTTCTTTGAGGCCTACCGTAGTAAAGGAAATAACTTCCTATAGAAAGAAGACAGAAGAATTCTCAGAGCCCTCTTCGTGATGTTTGCATTCAACTCACAGTGCTGAACCTTTCTTTGATAGTGCAGCTTTGAAACACTCTTTTTGTAGAAACTGCAAGTGGATATTTGGTCCTCTCTGAGGATTTCGTTGGAAACGGGATAAACCGCACAGAACTAAAACAGAAGCATTCTCAGAACCTTCTTCGTGATGTTTGCATTCAACTCACAGTGTTGAACCTTTCTTTGATAGTTCAGGTTTGAAACGGTCTTTCTGTAGAAACTGCAAGTAGATATTTGGACCTCTCTGAGGATTTCGTTGGAAACGGGATAACCCGCACAGAACTAAAACAGAAGCATTCACAGAAAACTCTTGGTGACGACTGAGTTTAACTCACAGAGCTGAACATTCCTTTGGATGGAGCAGTTTCGAAACACACTATTTGTAGAATCTGCAAGTGGATATTTGGGCCTCTCTGAGGATTTCGTTGGAAACGGGATAAACCGCACAGAAGTAAACAGAAGCATTCTCAGAAACTACTTTGTGATGATTGCATTCAAGTCACAGAGTTGAACATTCCCTTTGACAGAGCAGTTTGGAAACTCTCTTTGTGTAGAATCTGCAAGTGGAGATATGGACCGCTTTGAGGCCTATGGTAGTAAAGGAAATAGCTTCATATAAAAGCTAGACAGTAGCATTCTCAGAAACTTCTTTGTGATGCTTGCATTCAACTCACAGAGTTGAACTTTCCTTTCGAGAGAGAAGCTTTGAAACACTCTTTTTCCAGAATCTGCAAGTGGACATTTGGAGGGCTTTGAGGCCTGTGGTGGAAAAGGAATTATCTTCCCGTAAAAGCTAGATAGAAGCATTGTCAGAAACTTCTTTGTGATGATTGCATTCAACTCACAGAGTTGAAGGTTCCTTTTCAAACAGCAGTTTCCAATCACTCTTTCTGTGGAATCTGCAAGTGGATATTTGGGCCTCTCTGAGGATTTCGTTGGAAACGGGATAAAACGCACAGAACTAAAACAGAAGCATTCTCAGAAACTTCTCTGTGATGTTTGTGTTCAACTCCCAGAGTTTCACGTTGCTTTTCATAGAGTAGTTCTGAAACATGCTTTTCGTAGTGTCTGCAAGTGGACATTTGGAGCGCTTTCAGGCCTGTGGTGGAAAACGAATTATGGTCACATAAAAACTGGAGAGAAGCCTTCTCAGAAACTTCTCTGTGATGATTGCATTCAACTCACAGAGTTGAACCCTCCTATGGATAGAGCAGTGTTGAAACTCTCTTTTTGTGGAATCTGCAAGTTGATATGTGGACCTCTCCGAAGATGTCTTTGGAAACGGGAATATCTTCACATAAAAACTAAACAGAAGCATTCTCAGAAACTTCTTGGTGATGTTTGCATTCAAATCCCAGAGTTGAACCTTCCTTTGATAGTTCAGGTTTGAAACACTCTTTTTGTAGGATCTGCAAGTGGATATTTGGACCACTCTGTGGCCTTCGTTCGAAACGGGTACATCTTCGCATAAAATCTAGACAGAAGCATTCTCAGAAAATACTTTGTGATGATTGAGTTGAACTCACAGAGCTGAACATTCCTTTGGATGGAGCAGGTTTGAGACACACTTTTTGTAGAATCTACAAGTGGATATTTGGACCTCTCTGAGGATTTCGTTGGAAACGGGATAACTGCACCTAACTAAACGGAAGCATTCTCAGAAACTGCTTTGTGATGATTGCATTCACCTCACAGAGTTGAACATTCCTATTGATAGAGCAGTTTGGAAACACTCTTGTTGTGGAATGTGCAAGTGGAGATTTGGAGCGCTTTGAGGCCTATAGTAGTAAAGGGAATAGCTTCATAGAAAAACTAGACAGATGCATTCTCAGGAACTTTTTGGTGATGTTTGTATTCAACTCCCAGAGTTGAACTTTCCTTTGGAAAGAGCAGCTATGAAACACTGTTTTTCTAGAATCTGCAAGTGGACGTTTGGAGGGCTTTGTGGTTTGTGGTGGAAAAGGAAATATCTTCACCTAAATACTAGATAGAAGCATTCTCAGAAGCTTCTCTGTGATGACTGCATTCAACTCACGGAGTTGAACACTCCTTTTGAGAGCGCAGTTTTGAAACTCTCTTTCTGTGGCATCTGCAAGGGGACATGTAGACCTCTTTGAAGATTTCGTTGGAAACGGAATCATCTTCACATCAAAACTATACAGAAGCAGTCTCAGAATCTTCTTTGTGATGTTTGCATTCAAATCCCAGAGTTGAACTTGCCTTTCAAAGTTCACGTTTGAAACACTCTTTTTGCAGGATCTACAAGTGGATATTTGGACCACTCTGTGTCCTTCGTTCGAAACGGGTATATCTTCACATGACATCTAGACAGAAGCTTTCTCAGAAAATTCTTTGGGATGATTGAGTTGAGCAAACAGAGCTGAACACTCCTTGCGATGTAGCAGTTTAGAAACACACTTTCTGCAGAATCTGCAAGTGCATATGTGGACCTCTCTGAGGAATTCGTTGGAAACGGGATAATTTCAGCTGACTAAACAGAAGCATTCTCAGAACCTTCTTCGTGATGTCTGCATTCAACTCACAGTGTGGAACCTTTCTTTGATAGTTCAGGTTTGAAACACTCTTTTTGTAGAAACTGCAAGGGGATAATTGCACTTCTTTGAGGCCTACCGTAGTAAAGGAAATAACTTCCTATAGAAAGAAGACAGAAGCATTCTCAGAACCCTCTTCGTGATGTTTGCATTCAACTCACAGTGCTGAACCTTTCTTTGATAGTTCAGCTTTGAAACACTCTTCTTGTAGAAACTGCAAGTGGATATTTGGTCCTCTCTGAGGATTTCGTTGGAAACGGGATAAACCGCACAGAACTAAACAGAAGCATTCTCAGAACCTTCTTCGTGATGTTTGCATTCAACTCACAGTGTTGAACCTTTCTTTGATAGTTCAGGTTTGAAACGGTCTTTCTGTAGAAACTGCAAGTAGATATTTGGACCTCTCTGAGGATTTCGTTGGAAACGGGATAAACCGAACAGAACTAAAACAGAAGCATTCACAGAAAACTCTTGGTGACGACTGAGTTTAACTCACAGAGCTGAACATCCCTTTGGATGGAGCAGTTTCGAAACACACTATTTGTAGAATGTGCAAGTGGATATTGGGGCCTCTCTGAGGATTTCGTTGGAAACGGGATAAACCGCACAGAACTAAACAGAAGCATTCTCAGAAACTACTTTGTGATGATTGCATTCAAGTCACAGAGTTGAACATTCCCTTTGACAGAGCAGTTTGGAAACTCTCTTTGTGTAGAATCTGCAAGTGGAGATATGGACCGCTTTGAGGCCTATGGTAGTAAAGGAAATAGCTTCATATAAAAGCTAGACAGTAGCATTCTCAGAAACTTCTTTGTGATGCTTGCATTCAACTCACAGAGTTGAACTTTCCTTTCGAGAGAGAAGCTTTGAAACACTCTTTTTCCAGAATCTGCAAGTGGACATTTGGAGGGCTTTGAGGCCTGTGGTGGAAAAGGAATTATCTTCCCGTAAAAGCTAGATAGAAGCATTGTCAGAAACTTCTTTGTGATGATTGCATTCAACTCACAGAGATGAAGGTTCCTTTACAAACAGCAGTTTCCAAACACTCTTTCTGTGGAATTTGCAAGTGGATATTTGGACCTCTTTGAAGATTTCGTTGGAAACGGGAGAATCTTCACAGAAAAGCTAAACAGAAGCATTCTCAGAAACTTCTCTGTGATGTTTGTGTTCAACTCCCAGAGTTTCACATTGCTTTTCATAGAGTAGTTCTGAAACATGCTTTTCGTAGTGTCTGCAAGTGGACATTTGGAGCGCTTTCAGGCCTGTGGTGGAAAACGAATTATGGTCCCATAAAAACTGGAGAGAAGCCTTCTCAGAAACTTCTCTGTGATGATTGCATTCAACTCACAGAGTTGAACCCTCCTATGGATAGAGCATTGTTGAAACTCTCTTTTTGTGGAATCTGCAAGTGGATATGTGGACCTCTCCGAAGATGTCTTTGGAAACGGGAATATCTTCACATAAAAACTAAACAGAAGCATTCTCAGAAACTTCTTGGTGATGTTTGCATTCAAATCCCAGAGTTGAACCTTCCTTTGATAGTTCAGGTTTGCAACACTCTTTTTGTAGGATCTGCAAGTGGATATTTGGACCACTCTGTGGCCTTCGTTCGAAACAGGTACATCTTCACATAAAATCTAGACAGAAGCATTCTCAGAAAATACTTTGTGATGATTGGGTTGAACTCACAGAGCTGAACATTCCTTTGGATGGAGCAGGTTTGAGACACACTTTTTGTAGAATCTACAAGTGGATATTTGGACCTCTCTGAGGATTTCGTTGGAAACGGGATAACTGCACCTAACTAAACGGAAGCATTCTCAGAAACTGCTTTGTGATGATTGCATTCACCTCACAGAGTTGAAAATTCCTATTGATAGAGCAGTTTGGAAACACTCTTCTTGTGGAATGTGCAAGTGGAGATTTGGAGCGCTTTGAGGCCTATGGTACTAAAGGGAATAGCTTCATAGAAAAACTAGACAGATGCATTCTCAGGAACTTTTTGGTGATGTTTGTATTCAACTCCCAGAGTTGAACTTTCCTTTGGAAAGAGCAGCTATGAAACACACTTTTTCTAGAATCTGCAAGTGGACGTTTGGAGGGCTTTGTGGTTTGTGGTGGAAAAGGAAATATCTTCACCTAAATACTAGATAGAAGCATTCTCAGAAGCTTCTCTGTGATGACTGCATTCAACTCACGGAGTTGAACACTCCTTTTGAGAGCGCAGTTTTGAAACTCTCTTTCTGTGGCATCTGCAAGGGGACATGTAGACCTCTTTGAAGATTTCGTTGGAAACGGAATCATCTTCACATAAAAACTATACAGAAGCAGTCTCAGAATCTTCTTTGTGATGTTTGCATTCAAATCCCAGAGTTGAACTTTCCTTTCAAAGTTCACGTTTGAAACACTCTTTTTGCAGGATCTACAAGTGGATATTTTTACCACTCTGTGTCCTTCGTTCGAAACGGGTATATCTTCACATGACATCTAGACAGAAGCTTTCTCAGAAAATTCTTTGGGATGATTGAGTGGAACTCACAGAGCTGAACATTCCTTGCGATGTAGCAGTTTAGAAACACACTTTCTGCAGAATCTGCAAGTGCATATTTGGACCTCTCTGAGGAATTCGTTGGAAACGGGATAATTTCAGCTGACTAAACAGAAGCATTCTCAGAACCTTCTTCGTGATGTCTGCATTCAACTCACAGTGTGGAACCTTTCTTTGATAGTTCAGGTTTGAAACACTCTTTTTGTAGAAACTGCAAGGGGATAATTGCACTTCTTTGAGGCCTACCGTAGTAAAGGAAATAACTTCCTATAGAAAGAAGACAGAAGCAATCTCAGAACCCTCTTCGTGATGTTTGCATTCAACTCACGGTGCTGAACCTTTCTTTGATAGTTCAGCTTTGAAACACTCTTTTTGTAGAAACTGCAAGTGGATATTTGGTCCTCTCTGAGGATTTCGTTGGAAACGGGATAAACCGCACAGAACTAAACAGAAGCATTCTCAGAACCTTCTTCGTGATGTTTGCATTCAAATCACAGTGTTGAACCTTTCTTTGATAGTTCAGGTTTGAAACGGTCTTTCTGTAGAAACTGCAAGTAGATATTTGGACCTCTCTGAGGATTTCGTTGGAAACGGGATAAACCGCACAGAACTAAAACAGAAGCATTCACAGAAAACTCTTGGTGACGACTGAGTTTAACTCACAGAGCTGAACATTCCTTTGGATGGAGCAGTTTCGAAACACACTATTTGTAGAATGTGCAAGTGGATATGTGGGCCTCTCTGAGGATTTCGTTGGAAACGGGATAAACCGCACAGAACTAAACAGAAGCATTCTCAGAAACTACTTTGTGATGATTGCATTCAAGTCACAGAGTTGAACATTCCCTTTGACAGAGCAGTTTGGAAACTCTCTTTGTGTAGAATCTGCAAGTGGAGATATGGACCGCTTTGAGGCCTATGGTAGTAAAGGAAATAGCTTCATATAAAAGCTAGACAGTAGCATTCTCAGAAACTTCTTTGTGATGCTTGCATTCAACTCACAGAGTTGAACTTTCCTTTCGAGAGAGAAGCTTTGAAACACTCTTTTTCCAGAATCTGCAAGTGGACATTTGGAGGGCTTTGAGGCCTGTGGTGGAAAAGGAATTATCTTCCCGTAAAAGCTAGATAGAAGCATTGTCAGAAACTTCTTTGTGATGATTGCATTCAACTCACAGAGTTGAAGGTTCCTTTTCAAACAGCAGTTTCCAATCACTCTTTCTGTGGAATCTGCAAGTGGATATTTGGGCCTCTCTGAGGATTTCGTTGGAAACGGGATAAAACGCACAGAACTAAAACAGAAGCATTCTCAGAAACTTCTCTGTGATGTTTGTGTTCAACTCCCAGAGTTTCACGTTGCTTTTCATAGAGTAGTTCTGAAACATGCTTTTCGTAGTGTCTGCAAGTGGACATTTGGAGCGCTTTCAGGCCTGTGGTGGAAAACGAATTATGGTCACATAAAAACTGGAGAGAAGCCTTCTCAGAAACTTCTCTGTGATGATTGCATTCAACTCACAGAGTTGAACCCTCCTATGGATAGAGCAGTGTTGAAACTCTCTTTTTGTGGAATCTGCAAGTGGATATGTGGACCTCTCCGAAGATGTCTTTGGAAACGGGAATATCTTCACATAAAAACTAAACAGAAGCATTCTCAGAAACTTCTTGGTGATGTTTGCATTCAAATCCCAGAGTTGAACCTTCCTTTGATAGTTCAGGTTTGAAACACTCTTTCTGTAGGATCTGCAAGTGGCTATTTGGACCACTCTGTGGCCTTCGTTCGAAACGGGTATATCTTCGCATAAAATCTAGACAGAAGCATTCTCAGAAAATACTTTGTGATGATTGAGTTGAACTCTCAGAGCTGAACATTCCTTTGGATGGAGCAGGTTTGAGACACACTTTTTGTAGAATATACAAGTAGATATTTGGACCTCTCTGAGGATTTCGTTGGAAACGCGATAACTGCACCTAACTAAACGGAAGCATTCTCAGAAACTGCTTTGTGATGATTGCATTCACCTCACAGAGTTGAACATTCCTATTGATAGAGCAGTTTGGAAACACTCTTGTTGTGGAATGTGCAAGTGGAGATTTGGAGCGCTTTGAGGCCTATGGTAGTAAAGGGAATAGCTCCATAGAAAAGCTAGACAGATGCATTCTCAGGAACTTTTTGGTGACGTTTGTATTCAACTCCCAGACTTGAAATTTCCTTTGGAAAGAGCAGCTATGAAACACTCTTTTTCTAGAATCTGCAAGTGGACGTTTGGAGGGCTTTGTGGTTTGTGGTGGAAAAGGAAATATCTTCACCTAAATACTAGATAGAAGCATTCTCAGAAGCTTCTCTGTGATGACTGCATTCAACTCACGGAGTTGAACACTCCTTTTGAGAGCGCAGTTTTGAAACTCTCTTTCTGTGGCATCTGCAAGGGGACATGTAGACCTCTTTGAAGATTTCGTTGGAAACGGAATCATCTTCACATAAAAACTATACAGAAGCAGTCTCAGAATCTTCTTTGTGGTGTTTGCATTCAAATCCCAGAGTTGAACTTTCCTTTCAAAGTTCACGTTTGAAACACTCTTTTTGCAGGATCTACAAGTGGATATTTGGACCACTCTGTGTCCTTCGTTCGAAACGGGTATATCTTCACATGACATCTAGACAGAAGCTTTCTCAGAAAATTCTTTGGGATGATTGAGTGGAACTCACAGAGCTGAACATTCCTTGCGATGTAGCAGTTTAGAAACACACTTTCTGCAGAATCTGCAAGTGCATATTTGGACCTCTCTGAGGAATTCGTTGGAAACGGGATAATTTCAGCTGACTAAACAGAAGCATTCTCAGAACCTTCTTCGTGATGTCTGCATTCAACTCACAGTGTGGAACCTTTCTTTGATAGTTCAGGTTTGAAACACTCTTTTTGTAGAAACTGCAAGGGGATAATTGCACTTCTTTGAGGCCTACCGTAGTAAAGGAAATAACTTCCTATAGAAAGAAGACAGAAGATTTCTCAGAACCCTCTTCGTGATGTTTGCATTCAACTCACAGTGCTGAACCTTTCTTTGATAGTTCAGCTTTGAAACACTCTTCTTGTAGAAACTGCAAGTGGATATTTGGTCCTCTCTGAGGATTTCGTTGGAAACGGGATAAACCGCACAGAACTAAACAGAAGAATTCTCAGAGCCCTCTTCGTGATGTTTGCATTCAACTCACAGTGCTGAACCTTTCTTTGATAGTGCAGCTTTGAAACACTATTTTTGTAGAAACTGCAAGTGGATGTTTGGTCCTCTCTGAGGATTTCGTTGGAAACGGGATAAACCGCACAGAACTAAAACAGAAGCATTGTCAGAAACTTCTTTGTGATGATTGCATTCAACTCACAGAGTTGAAGGTTCCTTTTCAAACAGCAGTTTCCAATCACTCTTTCTGTGGAATCTGCAAGTGGATATTTGGGCCTCTCTGAGGATTTCGTTGGAAACGGGATAAAAGGCACAGAACTAAAACAGAAGCATTCTCAGAAACTTCTCTGTGATGTTTGTGTTCAACTCCCAGAGTTTCACGTTGCTTTTCATAGAGTAGTTCTGAAACATGCTTTTCGTAGTGTCTGCAAGTGGACATTTGGAGCGCTTTCAGGCCTGTGGTGGAAAACGAATTATGGTCACATAAAAACTGGAGAGAAGCCTTCTCAGAAACTTCTCTGTGATGATTGCATTCAACTCACAGAGTTGAACCCTCCTATGGATAGAGCAGTGTTGAAACTCTCTTTTTGTGGAATCTGCAAGTGGATATGTGGACCTCTCCGAAGATGTCTTTGGAAACGGGAATATCTTCACATAAAAACTAAACAGAAGCATTCTCAGAAACTTCTTAGTGATGTTTGCATTCAAATCCCAGAGTTGAACCTTCCTTTGATAGTTCAGGTTTGAAACACTCTTTTTGTAGGATCTGCAAGTGGATATTTGGACCACTCTGTGGCCTTCGTTCGAAACGGGTACATCTTCGCATAAAATCTAGACAGAAGCATTCTCAGAAAATACTTTGTGATGATTGAGTTGAACTCACAGAGCTGAACATTCCTTTGGATGGAGCAGGTTTGAGACACACTTCTTGTAGAATCTACAAGTGGATATTTGGACCTACTCCTGAGGATTTCGTTGGGAACGGGATAACTGCACCTAACTAAACGGAAGCATTCTCAGAAACTGCTTTGTGATGATTGCATTCACCTCACAGAGTTGAACATTTCTATTGATAGAGCAGTTTGGAAACACTCTTGTTGTGGAATGTGCAAGTGGAGATTTGGAGCGTTTTGAGGCCTATGGTATTAGAGGGAATAGCTTCATAGAAAAACTAGACAGATGCATTCTCAGGAACTTTTTGGTGATGTTTGTATTCAACTCCGAGAGTTGAACTTTCCTTTGGAAAGAGCAGCTATGAAACACTCTTTTTCTAGAATCTGCAAGAGGACGTTTGGAGGGCTTTGTGGTTTGTGGTGGAAAAGGAAATATCTTCACCTAATATACTAGATAGAAGCATTCTCAGAAGCTTCTCTGTGATGACTGCATTCAACTCACGGAGTTGAACACTCCTTTTGAGAGCGCAGTTTTGAAACTCTCTTTCTGTGGCATCTGCAAGGGGACATGTAGACCTCTTTGAAGATTTCGTTGGAAACGGAATTCATCTTCACATAAAAACTATACAGAAGCAGTCTCAGAATCTTCTTTGTGATGTTTGCATTCAAATCCCAGAGTTGAACTTTCCTTTCAAAGTTCACGTTTGAAACACTCTTTTTGCAGGATCTACAAGTGGATATTTGGACCACTCTGTGTCCTTCGTTCGAAACGGGTATATCTTCACATGACATCTAGACAGAAGCTTTCTCAGAAAATTCTTTGGGATGATTGAGTTGAACTCACAGAGCTGAACATTCCTTGCGATGGAGCAGTTTAGAAACACACTTTCTGCAGAATCTGCAAGTGCATATTTGGACCTCTCTGAGGAATTCGTTGGAAACGGGATAATTTCAGCTGACTAAACAGAAGCATTCTCAGAACCTTCTTCGTGATGTCTGCATTCAACTCACAGTGTGGAACCTTTCTTTGATAGTTCAGGTTTGAAACACTCTTTTTGTATAAACTGCAAGGGGATAATTGCACTTCTTTGAGGCCTACCGTAGTAAAGGAAATAACTTCCTATAGAAAGAAGACAGAAGCATTCTCAGAACCCTCTTCGTGATGTTTGCATTCAACTCACAGTGCTGAACCTTTCTTTGATAGTTCAGCTTTGAAACACTCTTTTTGTAGAAACTGCAAGTGGATATTTGGTCCTCTCTGAGCATTTCGTTGGAAACGGGATAAACTGCACAGAACTAAACAGAAGCATTCTCAGAACCTTCTTCGTGATGTTTGCATTCAACTCACAGTGTTGAACCTTTCTTTGATAGTTCAGGTTTGAAACGGTCTTTCTGTAGAAACTGCAAGTAGATATTTGGACCTCTCTGAGGATTTCGTTGGAAACGGGGTAACCCGCACAGAACTAAAACAGAAGCATTCACAGAAAACTCTTGGTGACGACTGAGTTTAACTCACAGAGCTGAACATTCCTTTGGATGGAGCAGTTTCGAAACACACTATTTGTAGAATGTGCAAGTGGATATTTAGGCCTCTCTGAGGATTTCGTTGGAAACGGGATAAACCGCACAGAACTAAACAGAAGCATTCTCAGAAACTACTTTGTGATGATTGCATTCAAGTCACAGAGTTGAACATTCCCTTTGACAGAGCAGTTTGGAAACTCTCTTTGTGTAGAATCTGCAAGTGGAGATATGGACCGCTTTGAGGCCTATGGTAGTAAAGGAAATAGCTTCATATAAAAGCTAGACAGTAGCATTCTCAGAAACTTCTTTGTGATGCTTGCATTCAACTCACAGAGTTGAACTTTCCTTTCGAGAGAGAAGCTTTGAAACACTCTTTTTCCAGAATCTGCAAGTGGACATTTGGAGGGCTTTGAGGCCTGTGGTGGAAAAGGAATTATCTTCCCGTAAAAGCTAGATAGAAGCATTGTCAGAAACTTCTTTGTGATGATTGCATTCAACTCACAGAGTTGAAGGTTCCTTTTCAAACAGCAGTTTCCAATCACTCTTTCTGTGGAATCTGCAAGTGGATATTTGGGCCTCTCTGAGGATTTCGTTGGAAACGGGATAAAACGCACAGAACTAAAACAGAAGCATTCTCAGAAACTTCTCTGTGATGTTTGTGTTCAACTCCCAGAGTTTCACATTGCTTTTCATAGAGTAGTTCTGAAACATGCTTTTCGTAGTGTCTACAAGTGGACATTTGGAGCGCTTTCAGGCCTGTGGTGGAAAACGAATTATGGTCACATAAAAACTGGAGAGAAGCCTTCTCAGAAACTTCTCTGTGATGATTGCATTCAACTCACAGAGTTGAACCCTCCTATGGATAGAGCAGTGTTGAAACTCTCTTTTTGTGGAATCTGCAAGTGGATATGTGGACCTCTCCGAAGATGTCTTTGGAAACGGGAATATCTTCACATAAAAACTAAACAGAAGCATTCTCAGAAACTTCTTGGTGATGTTTGCATTCAAATCCCAGAGTTGAACCTTCCTTTGAGAGTTCAGGTTTGAAACACTCTTTTTGTAGGATCTGAAAGTGGATATTTGGACCACTCTGTGGCCTTCGTTCGAAACGGGTACATCTTCGCATAAAATCTAGACAGAAGCATTCTCAGAAAATACTTTGTGATGATTGAGTTTAAATCACAGAGCTGACCATTCCTTTGGATGGAGCAGGTTTGAGACACACTTTTTGTAGAATCTACAAGTGGATATTTGGACCTCTCTGAGGATTTCGTTGGAAACGGGATAACTGCACCTAACTAAACGGATAAGCATTCTCAGAAACTGCTTTGTGATGATTGCATTCACCTCACAGAGTTGAACATTCCTATTGATAGAGCAGTTTGGAAACACTCTTGTTGTGGAATGTGCAAGTGGAGATTTGGAGCGCTTTGAGGCCTGTGGTAGTAAAGGGAATAGCTTCATAGAAAAACTAGACAGATGCATTCTCAGGAACTTTTTGGTGATGTTTGTATTCAACTCCCAGAGTTGAACTTTCCTTTGGAAAGAGCAGCTATGAAACACTCTTTTTCTAGAATCTGCAAGTGGACGTTTGGAGGGCTTTGTGGTTTGTGGTGGAAAAGGAAATATCTTCACCTAAATACTAGATAGAAGCATTCTCAGAAGCTTCTCTGTGATGACTGCATTCAACTCACGGAGTTGAACACTCCTTTTGAGAGCGCAGTTTTGAAACTCTCTTTCTGTGGCATCTGCAAGGGGACATGTAGACCTCTTTGAAGATTTCGTTGGAAACGGAATCATCTTCACATAAAAACTATACAGAAGCAGTCTCAGAATCTTCTTTGTGATGTTTGCATTCAAATCCCAGAGTTGAACTTTCCTTTCAATGTTCACGTTTGAAACACTCTTTTTGCAGGATCTACAAGTGGATATTTGGACCACTCTGTGTCCTTCGTTCGAAACGGGTATATCTTCACATGACATCTAGACAGAAGCTTTCTCAGAAAATTCTTTGGGATGATTGAGTGGAACTCACAGAGCTGAACATTCCTTGCGATGTAGCAGTTTAGAAACACACTTTCTGCAGAATCTGCAAGTGCATATTTGGACCTCTCTGAGGAATTCGTTGGAAACGGGATAATTTCAGCTGACTAAACAGAAGCATTCTCAGAACCTTCTTCGTGATGTCTGCATTCAACTCACAGTGTGGAACCTTTCTTTGATAGTTCAGGTTTGAAACACTCTTTTTGTAGAAACTGCAAGGGGATAATTGCACTTCTTTGAGGCCTACCGTAGTAAAGGAAATAACTTCCTATAGAAAGAAGACAGAAGCATTCTCAGAGCCCTCTTCGTGATGTTTGCATTCAACTCACAGTGCTGAACCTTTCTTTGATAGTGCAGCTTTGAAACACTCTTTTTGTAGAAACTGCAAGTGGATATTTGGTCCTCTCTGAGGATTTCGTTGGAAACGGGATAAACTGCACAGAACTAAAACAGAAGCATTCTCAGAACCTTCTTCGTGATGTTTGCATTCAACTCACAGTGTTGAACCTTTCTTTGATAGTTCAGGTTTGAAACGGTCTTTCTGTAGAAACTGCAAGTAGATATTTGGACCTCTCTGAGGATTTCGTTGGAAACGGGATAAACCGCACAGAACTAAAACAGAAGCATTCACAGAAAACACTTGGTGACGACTGAGTTTAACTCACAGAGCTGAACATTCCTTTGGATGGAGCAGTTTCGAAACACACTCTTTGTAGAATCTGCAAGTGGATATTTGGGCCTCTCTGAGGATTTCGTTGGAAACGGGATAAACCGCACAGAACTAAAACAGAAGCATTCTGAGAAACTACTTTGTGATGATTGCATTTAAGTCACAGAGCTGAACATTCCCTTTGATAGAGCAGTTTGGAAACTCTCTTTGTGTAGAATCTGCAAGTGGAGATATGGAATGCTTTGAGGACTATGGTAGTAAAGGAAATAGTTTCATATAAAAGCTAGACAGTAGCATTCTCAGAAACTTCTTTGTGATGCTTGCATTCAACTCACAGAGTTGAACTTTCCTTTCGAGAGAGAAGCTTTGAAACACTCTTTTTCCAGAATCTGCAAGTGGACATTTGGAGGGCTTTGAGGCCTGTGGTGGAAAAGGAATTATCTTCCCGTAAAAGCTAGATAGAAGCATTGTCAGAAACTTCTTTGTGATGATTGCATTCAACTCACAGAGATGAAGGTTCCTTTACAAACAGCAGTTTCCAAACACTCTTTCTGTGGAATCTGCAAGTGGATATTTGGACCTCTTTGAAGATTTCGTTGGAAACGGGAGAATCTTCACAGAAAAGCTAAACAGAAACATTCTCAGAAACTTCTCTGTGATGTTTGTGTTCAACTCCCAGAGTTTCACATTGCTTCTCATAGAGTAGTTCTGAAACATGCTTTTCGTAGTGTCTACAAGTGGACATTTGGAGCGCTTTCAGGCCTGTGGTGGAAAACGAATTATGGTCACATAAAAACTGGAGAGAAGCCTTCTCAGAAACTTCTCTGTGATGATTGCATTCAACTCACAGAGTTGAACCCTCCTATGGATAGAGCAGTGTTGAAACTCTCTTTTTGTGGAATCTGCAAGTGGATATGTGGACCTCTCCGAAGATGTCTTTGGAAACGGGAATATCTTCACATAAAAACTAAACAGAAGCATTCTCAGAAACTTCTTGGTGATGTTTGCATTCAAATCCCAGAGTTGAACCTTCCTGTGATAGTTCAGGTTTGAAACACACTTTTTGTAGGATCTGCAAGTGGATATTTGGACCACTCTGTGGCCTTCGTTCGAAACGGGTACATCTTCGCATAAAATCTAGACAGAAGGATTCTCAGAAAATACTTTGTGATGATTGAGTTTAACTCACAGAGCTGAACATTCCTTTGGATGGAGCAGGTTTGAGACACACTTTTTGTAGAATCTACAAGTGGATATTTGGACCTCTCTGAGAATTTCGTTGGAAACGGGATAACTGCACCTAACTAAACGGAAGCATTCTCAGAAACTGCTTTGTGATGATTGCATTCACCTCACAGAGTTGAACATTCCTATTGATAGAGCAGTTTGGAAACACTCTTGTTGTGGAATGTGCAAGTGGAGATTTGGAGCGCTTTGAGGCCTATGGTAGTAAAGGGAATAGCTTCATAGAAAAACTAGACAGATGCATTCTCAGGAACTTTTTGGTGATGTTTGTATTCAACTCCCAGAGTTGAACTTTCCTTTGGAAAGAGCAGCTATGAAACACTCTTTTTCTAGAATCTGCAAGTGGACGTTTGGAGGGCTTTGTGGTTTGTGGTGGAAAAAGAAATATCTTCACCTAAATACTAGATAGAAGCATTCTCAGAAGCTTCTCTGTGATGACTGCATTCAACTCACGGAGTTGAACACTCCTTTTGAGAGCGCAGTTTTGAAACTCTCTTTCTGTGGCATCTGCAAGGGGACATGTAGACCTCTTTGAAGATTTCGTTGGAAACGGAATCATCTTCACATAAAAACTATACAGAAGCAGTCTCAGAATCTTCTTTGTGATGTTTGCATTCAAATCCCAGAGTTGAACTTTCGTTTCAAATTTCACGTTTGAAACACTCTTTTTGCAGGATCTACAAGTGGATATTTGGACCACTCTGTGTCCTTCGTTCGAAACGGGTATATCTTCACATGACATCTAGACAGAAGCTTTCTCAGAAAATTCTTTGGGATGATTGAGTGGAACTCACAGAGCTGAACATTCCTTGCGATGTAGCAGTTTAGAAACACACTTTCTGCAGAATCTGCAAGTGCATATTTGGACCTCTCTGAGGAATTCGTTGGAAACGGGATAATTTCAGCTGACTAAACAGAAGCATTCTCAGAACCTTCTTCGTGATGTCTGCATTCAACTCACAGTGTGGAACCTTTCTTTGATAGTTCAGGTTTGAAACACTCTTTTTGTAGAAACTGCAAGGGGATCATTGCACTTCTTTGAGGCCTACCGTAGTAAAGGAGATAACTTCCTATAAAAAGAAGACAGAAGCATTCTCAGAACCCTCTTCGTGATGTTTGCATTCAACTCACAGTGCTGAACCTTTCTTTGATAGTTCAGCTTTGAAACACTCTTTTTGTAGAAACTGCAAGTGGATATTTGGTCCTCTCTGAGCATTTCGTTGGAAACGGGATAAACTGCACAGAACTAAACAGAAGCATTCTCAGAACCTTCTTCGTGATGTTTGCATTCAACTCACAGTGTTGAACCTTTCTTTGATAGTTCAGGTTTGAAACGGTCTTTCTGTAGAAACTGCAAGTAGATATTTGGACCTCTCTGAGGATTTCGTTGGAAACGGGATAACCCGCACAGAACTAAAACAGATAGCATTCACAGTAAAACTCTTGGTGACGACTGAGTTTAACTCACAGAGCTGAACATTCCTTTGGATGGAGCAGTTTCGAAACACACTATTTGTAGAATCTGCAAGTGGATATTTGGGCCTCTCTGAGGATTTCGTTGGAAACGGGATAAAACGCACAGAACTAAAACAGAAGCATTCTCAGAAACTACTTTGTGATGATTGCATTCAAGTCACAGTAGTTGAACATTCCCTTTGACAGAGCAGTTTGGAAACTCTCTTTGTGTAGAATCTGCAAGTGGAGATATGGACCGCTTTGAGGCCTATGGTAGTAAAGGAAATAGCTTCATATAAAAGCTAGACAGTAGCATTCTCAGAAACTTCTTTGTGATGCTTGCATTCAACTCACAGAGTTGAACTTTCCTTTCGAGAGAGAAGCTTTGAAACACTCTTTTTCCAGAATCTGCAAGTGGACATTTGGAGGGCTTTGAGGCCTGTGGTGGAAAAGGAATTATCTTCCCGTAAAAGCTAGATAGAAGCATTGTCAGAAACTTCTTTGTGATGATTGCATTCAACTCACAGAGATGAAGGTTCCTTTACAAACAGCAGTTTCCAAACACTCTTTCTGTGGAATCTGCAAGTGGATATTTGGACCTCTTTGAAGATTTCGTTGGAAACGGGAGAATCTTCACAGAAAAGCTAAACAGAAGCATTCTCAGAAACTTCTCTGTGATGTTTGTGTTCAACTCCCAGAGTTTCACGTTGCTTTTCATAGAGTAGTTCTGAAACATGCTTTTCGTAGTGTCTGCAAGTGGACATTTGGAGCGCTTTCAGGCCTGTGGTGGAAAACGAATTATGGTCACATAAAAACTGGAGAGAAGCCTTCTCAGAAACTTCTCTGTGATGATTGCATTCAACTCACAGAGTTGAACCCTCCTATGGATAGAGCAGTGTTGAAACTCTCTTTTTGTGGAATCTGCAAGTGGATATGTGGACCTCTCCGAAGATGTCTTTGGAAACGGGAATATCTTCACATAAAAACTAAACAGAAGCATTCTCAGAAACTTCTTGGTGATGTTTGCATTCAAATCCCAGAGTTGAACCTTCCTTTGATAGTTCAGGTTTGAAACACTCTTTCTGTAGGATCTGCAAGTGGCTATTTGGACCACTCTGTGGCCTTCGTTCGAAACGGGTATATCTTCGCATAAAATCTAGACAGAAGCATTCTCAGAAAATACTTTGTGATGATTGAGTTTAAATCACAGAGCTGACCATTCCTTTGGATGGAGCAGGTTTGAGACACACTTTTTGTAGAATCTACAAGTGGATATTTGGACCTCTCTGAGGATTTCGTTGGAAACGGGATAACTGCACCTAACTAAACGGAAGCATTCTCAGAAACTGCTTTGTGATGATTGCATTCACCTCACAGAGTTGAACATTCCTATTGATAGAGCAGTTTGGAAACACTCTTGTTGTGGAATGTGCAAGTGGAGATTTGGAGCGCTTTGAGGCCTATGGTAGTAAAGGGAATAGCTTCATAGAAAAAGTAGACAGATGCATTCTCAGGAACTTTTTGGTGATGTTTGTATTCAACTCCCAGAGTTGAACTTTCCTTTGGAAAGAGCAGCTATGAAACACTCTTTTTCTAGAATCTGCAAGTGGACGTTTGGAGGGCTTTGTGGTTTGTGGTGGAAAAGGAAATATCTTCACCTAAATACTAGATAGAAGCATTCTCAGAAGCTTCTCTGTGATGACTGCATTCAACTCACGGAGTTGAACACTCCTTTTGAGAGCGCAGTTTTGAAACTCTCTTTCTGTGGCATCTGCAAGGGGACATGTAGACCTCTTTGAAGATTTCGTTGGAAACGGAATCATCTTCACATAAAAACTATACAGAAGCAGTCTCAGAATCTTCTTTGTGATGTTTGCATTCAAATCCCAGATTTGAACTTTCCTTTCAAAGTTCACGTTTGAAACACTCTTTTTGCAGGACCTACAAGTGGATATTTGGACCACTCTGTGTCCTTCGTTCGAAACGGGTATATCTTCACATGACATCTAGACAGAAGCTTTCTCAGAAAATTCTTTGGGATGATTGAGTTGAGCAAACAGAGCTGAACACTCCTTGCGATGTAGCAGTTTAGAAACACACGTTCTGCAGAATCTGCAAGTGCATATGTGGACCTCTCTGAGGAATTCGTTGGAAACGGGATAATTTCAGCTGACTAAACAGAAGCATTCTCAGAACCTTCTTCGTGATGTCTGCATTCAACTCACAGTGTGGAACCTTTCTTTGATAGTTCAGGTTTGAAACACTCTTTTTGTAGAAACTGCAAGGGGATCATTGCACTTCTTTGAGGCCTACCGTAGTAAAGGAGATAACTTCCTATAAAAAGAAGACAGAAGCATTCTCAGAACCCTCTTCGGATGTTTGCATTCAACTCACAGTGCTGAACCTTTCTTTGATAGTTCAGCTTTGAAACACTCTTCTTGTAGAAACTGCAAGTGGATATTTGGTCCTCTGTGAGGATTTCGTTGGAAACGGGATAAACCGCACAGAACTAAACAGAAGCATTCTCAGAACCTTCTTCGTGATGTTTGCATTCAACTCACAGTGTTGAACCTTTCTTTGATAGTTCAGGTTTGAAACGGTCTTTCTGTAGAAACTGCAAGTAGATATTTGGACCTCTCTGAGGATTTCGTTGGAAACGGGATAACCCGCACAGAACTAAAACAGAAGCATTCACAGAAAACTCTTGGTGACGACTGAGTTTAACTCACAGAGCTGAACATTCCTTTGGAGGGAGCAGTTTCGAAACACACTATTTATAGAATGTGCAAGTGGATATTTGGGCCTCTCTGAGGATTTCGTTGGAAACGGGATAAATGGCAAAGAAATAAACAGAAGCATTCTCAGAAACTACTTTGTGATGATTGCATTCAAGTCACAGAGTTGAACATTCCCTTTGACAGAGCAGTTTGGAAACTCTCTTTGTGTAGAATCTGCAAGTGGAGATATGGACCGCTTTGAGGCCTATGGTAGTAAAGGAAATAGCTTCATATAAAAGCTAGACAGTAGCATTCTCAGAAACTTCTTTGTGATGCTTGCATTCAACTCAGAGAGTTGAACTTTCCTTTCGAGAGAGAAGCTTTGAAACACTCTTTTTCCAGAATCTGCAAGTGGACATTTGGAGGGCTTTGAGGCCTGTGGTGGAAAAGGAATTATCTTCCCGTAAAAGCTAGATAGAAGCATTGTCAGAAACTTCTTTGTGATGATTGCATTCAACTCACAGAGTTGAAGGTTCCTTTTCAAAGAGCAGTTTCCAATCACTCTTTCTGTGGAATCTGCAAGTGGATATTTGGACCTATTTTGAAGATTTCGTTGGAAACGGGAGAATCTTCACAGGAAAGCTAAACAGAAGCATTCTCAGAAACTTCTCTGTGATGTTTGTGTTCAACTCCCAGAGTTTCACATTGCTTTTCATAGAGTAGTTCTGAAACATGCTTTTCGTAGTGTCTACAAGTGGACATTTGGAGCGCTTTCAGGCCTGTGGTGGAAAACGAATTATGGTCACATAAAAACTGGAGAGAAGCCTTCTCAGAAACTTCTCTGTGATGATTGCATTCAACTCACAGAGTTGAACCCTCCTATGGATAGAGCAGTGTTGAAACTCTCTTTTTGTGGAATCTGCAAGTGGATATGTGGACCTCTCCGAAGATGTCTTTGGAAACGGGAATATCTTCACATAAAAACTAAACAGAAGCATTCTCAGAAACTTCTTGGTGATGTTTGCATTCAAATCCCAGAGTTGAACCTTCCTTTGATAGTTCAGGTTTGAAACACTCTTTTTGTAGGATCTGCAAGTGGCTATTTGGACCACTCTGTGGCCTTCGTTCGAAACGGGTATATCTTCGCATAAAATCTAGACAGAAGCATTCTCAGAAAATACTTTGTGATGATTGAGTTTAAATCACAGAGCTGACCATTCCTTTGGATGGAGCAGGTTTGAGACACACTTTTTGTAGAATCTACAAGTGGATATTTGGACCTCTCTGAGGATTTCGTTGGAAACGGGATAACTGCACCTAACTAAACGGAAGCATTCTCAGAAACTGCTTTGTGATGATTGCATTCACCTCACAGAGTTGAACATTCCTATTGATAGAGCAGTTTGGAAACACTCTTCTTGTGGAATGTGCAAGTGGAGATTTGGAGCGCTTTGAGGCCTATGGTAGTAAAGGGAATAGCTTCATAGAAAAACTAGACAGATGCATTCTCAGGAACATTTTGGTGATGTTTGTATTCAACTCCCAGAGTTGAACTTTCCTTTGGAAAGAGCAGCTATGAAACACTCTTTTTCTAGAATCTGCAAGTGGACATTTGGAGGGCTTTGTGGTTTGTGGTGGAAAAGGAAATATCTTCACCTAAATACTACATAGAAGCATTCTCAGAAGCTTCTCTGTGATGACTGCATTCAACTCACGGAGTTGAACACTCCTTTTGAGAGCGCAGTTTTGGAACTCTCTTTCTGTGGCATCTGCAAGGGGACATGTAGACCTCTTTGAAGATTTCGTTGGAAACGGAATCATCTTCACATAAAAACTATACAGAAGCAGTCTCAGAATCTTCTTTGTGATGTTTGCATTCAAATCCCAGAGTTGAACTTTCCTTTCAAAGTTCACGTTTGAAACACTCTTTTTGCAGGATCTACAAGTGGATATTTGGACCACTCTGTGTCCTTCGTTCGAAACGGGTATATCTTCACACGACATCTAGACAGAAGCTTTCTCAGAAAATTCTTTGGGATGATTGAGTTGAACTCACAGAGCTGAGCATTCCTTGCGATGTAGCAGTTTAGAAACACACTTTCTGCAGAATCTGCAAGTGCATATTTGGACCTCTGTGAGGAATTCGTTGGAAACGGGATAATTTCAGCTGACTAAACAGAAGCATTCTCAGAACCTTCTTCGTGATGTCTGCATTCAACTCACAGTGTGGAACCTTTCTTTGATAGTTCAGGTTTGAAACACTCTTTTTGTAGAAACTGCAAGGGGATAATTGCACTTCTTTGAGGCCTACCGTAGTAAAGGAAATAACTTCCTATAGAAAGAAGACAGAAGAATTCTCAGAGCCCTCTTCGTGATGTTTGCATTCAACTCACAGTGCTGAACCTTTCTTTGATAGTGCAGCTTTGAAACACTCTTTTTGTAGAAACTGCAAGTGGATGTTTGGTCCTCTCTGAGGATTTCGTTGGAAACGGGATAAACCGCACAGAACTAAAACAGAAGCATTCTCAGAACCTTCTTCGTGATGTTTGCATTCAACTCACAGTGTTGAACCTTTCTTTGATAGTTCAGGTTTGAAACGGTCTTTCTGTAGAAACTGCAAGTAGATATTTGGACCTCTCTGAGGATTTCGTTGGAAACGGGATAACCCGCACAGAACTAAAACAGAAGCATTCACAGAAAACTCTTGGTGACGACTGAGTTTAACTCACAGAGCTGAACATTCCTTTGGATGGAGCAGTTTCGAAACACACTATTTGTAGAATGTGCAAGTGGATATTGGGGCCTCTCTGAGGATTTCGTTGGAAACAGGATAAACCGCAGAGAACTAAACAGAAACATTCTCAGAAACTACTTTGTGATGATTGCATTCAAGTCACAGAGTTGAACATTCCCTTTGACAGAGCAGTTTGGAAACTCTCTTTGTGTAGAATCTGCAAGTGGAGATATGGGACCGCTTTGAGGCCTATGGTAGTAAAGGAAATAGCTTCATATAAAAGCTAGACAGTAGCATTCTCAGAAACTTCTTTGTGATGCTTGCATTCAACTCACAGAGTTGAACTTTCCTTTCGAGAGAGAAGCTTTGAAACACTCTTTTTCCAGAATCTGCAAGTGGACATTTGGAGGGCTTTGAGGCCTGTGGTGGAAAAGGAATTATCTTCCCGTAAAAGCTAGATAGAAGCATTGTCAGAAACTTCTTTGTGATGATTGCATTCAACTCACAGAGTTGAAGGTTCCTTTTCAAACAGCAGTTTCCAATCACTCTTTCTGTGGAATCTGCAAGTGGATATTTCGACCTCTTTGAAGATTTCGTTGGAAACGGGAGAATCTTCACAGAAAAGCTAAACAGAAGCATTCTCAGAAACTTCTCTGTGATGTTTGTGTTCAACTCCCAGAGTTTCACGTTGCTTTTCATAGAGTAGTTCTGAAACATGCTTTTCGTAGTGTCTGCAAGTGGACATTTGGAGCGCTTTCAGGCCTGTGGTGGAAAACGAATTATGGTCACATAAAAACTGGAGAGAAGCCTTCTCAGAAACTTCTCTGTGATGATTGCATTCAACTCACAGAGTTGAACCCTCCTATGGATAGAGCAGTGTTGAAACTCTCTTTTTGTGGAATCTGCAAGTGGATATGTGGACCTCTCCGAAGATGTCTTTGGAAACGGGAATATCTTCACATAAAAACTAAACAGAAGCATTCTCAGAAACTTCTTGGTGATGTTTGCATTCAAATCCCAGAGTTGAACCTTCCTTTGATAGTTCAGGTTTGAAACACTCTTTCTGTAGGATCTGCAAGTGGCTATTTGGACCACTCTGTGGCCTTCGTTCGAAACGGGTATATCTTCGCATAAAATCTAGACAGAAGCATTCTCAGAAAATACTTTGTGATGATTGAGTTTAAATCACAGAGCTGAACATTCCTTTGGATGGAGCAGGTTTGAGACACACTTTTTGTAGAATCTACAAGTGGATATTTGGACCTCTCTGAGGATTTCGTTGGAAACGGGATAACTGCACCTAACTAAACGGAAGCATTCTCAGAAACTGCTTTGTGATGATTGCATTCACCTCACAGAGTTGAACATTCCTATTGATAGAGCAGTTTGGAAACACTCTTGTTGTGGAATGTGCAAGTGGAGATTTGGAGCGCTTTGAGGCCTACGGTAGTAAAGGGAATAGCTTCATAGAAAAACTAGACAGATGCATTCTCAGGAACTTTTTGGTGATGTTTGTATTCAACTCCCAGAGTTGAACTTTCCTTTGGAAAGAGCAGCTATGAAACACTCTTTTTCTAGAATCTGCAAGTGGACGTTTGGAGGGCTTTGTGGTTTGTGGTGGAAAAGGAAATATCTTCACCTAAATACTAGATAGAAGCATTCTCAGAAGCTTCTCTGTGATGACTGCATTCAACTCACGGAGTTGAACACTCCTTTTGAGAGCGCAGTTTTGAAACTCTCTTTCTGTGGCATCTGCAAGGGGACATGTAGACCTCTTTGAAGATTTCGTTGGAAACGGAATCATCTTCACATAAAAACTATACAGAAGCAGTCTCAGAATCTTCTTTGTGATGTTTGCATTCAAATCCCAGAGTTGAACTTTCCTTTCAAAGTTCACGTTTGAAACACTCTTTTTGCAGGATCTACAAGTGGATATTTGGACCACTCTGTGTCCTTCGTTCGAAACGGGTATATCTTCACACGACATCTAGACAGAAGCTTTCTCAGAAAATTCTTTGGGATGATTGAGTTGAGCAAACAGAGCTGAACACTCCTTGCGATGTAGCAGTTTAGAAACACCCTTTCTGCAGAATCTGCAAGTGCATATGTGGACCTCTCTGAGGAATTCGTTGGAAACGGGATAATTTCAGCTGACTAAACAGAAGCATTCTCAGAACCTTCTTCGTGATGTCTGCATTCAACTCACAGTGTGGAACCTTTCTTTGATAGTTCAGGTTTGAAACACTCTTTTTGTAGAAACTGCAAGGGGATAATTGCACTTCTTTGAGGCCTACCGTAGTAAAGGAAATAACTTCCTATAGAAAGAAGACAGAAGAATTCTCAGAGCCCTCTTCGTGATGTTTGCATTCAACTCACAGTGCTGAACCTTTCTTTGATAGTGCAGCTTTGAAACACTCTTTTTGTAGAAACTGCAAGTGGATGTTTGGTCCTCTCTGAGGATTTCGTTGGAAACGGGATAAACCGCACAGAACTAAAACAGAAGCATTCTCAGAACCTTCTTCGTGATGTTTGCATTCAACTCACAGTGTTGAACCTTTCTTTGATAGTTCAGGTTTGAAACGGTCTTTCTGTAGAAACTGCAAGTAGATATTTGGACCTCTCTGAGGATTTCGTTGGAAACGGGATAAACCGCACAGAACTAAAACAGAAGCATTCACAGAAAACTCTTGGTGACGACTGAGTTTAACTCACAGAGCTGAACATTCCTTTGGATGGAGCAGTTTCGAAACACACTATTTGTAGAATGTGCAAGTGGATATTTAGGCCTCTCTGAGGATTTCGTTGGAAACGGGATAAACCGCACAGAACTAAACAGAAGCATTCTCAGAAACTACTTTGTGATGATTGCATTCAAGTCACAGAGTTGAACATTCCCTTTGACAGAGCAGTTTGGAAACTCTCTTTGTGTAGAATCTGCAAGTGGAGATATGGACCGCTTTGAGGCCTATGGTAGTAAAGGAAATAGCTTCATATAAAAGCTAGACAGTAGCATTCTCAGAAACTTCTTTGTGATGCTTGCATTCAACTCACAGAGTTGAACTTTCCTTTCGAGAGAGAAGCTTTGAAACACTCTTTTTCCAGAATCTGCAAGTGGACATTTGGAGGGCTTTGAGGCCTGTGGTGGAAAAGGAATTATCTTCCCGTAAAAGCTAGATAGAAGCATTGTCAGAAACTTCTTTGTGATGATTGCATTCAACTCACAGAGTTGAAGGTTCCTTTTCAAACAGCAGTTTCCAATCACTCTTTCTGTGGAATCTGCAAGTGGATATTTCGACCTCTTTGAAGATTTCGTTGGAAACGGGAGAATCTTCACAGAAAAGCTAAACAGAAGCATTCTCAGAAACCTCTCTGTGATGTTTGTGTTCAACTCCCAGAGTTTCACGTTGCTTTTCATAGAGTAGTTCTGAAACATGCTTTTCGTAGTGTCTGCAAGTGGACATTTGGAGCGCTTTCAGGCCTGTGGTGGAAAACGAATTATGGTCACATAAAAACTGGAGAGAAGCCTTCTCAGAAACTTCTCTGTGATGATTGCATTCAACTCACAGAGTTGAACCCTCCTATGGATAGAGCAGTGTTGAAACTCTCTTTTTGTGGAATCTGCAAGTGGATATGTGGACCTCTCCGAAGATGTCTTTGGAAACGGGAATATCTTCACATAAAAACTAAACAGAAGCATTCTCAGAAACTTCTTGGTGATGTTTGCATTCAAATCCCAGCGTTGAACCTTCCTTTGATAGTTCAGGTTTGAAACACTCTTTTTGTAGGATCTGCAAGTGGCTATTTGGACCACTCTGTGGCCTTCGTTCGAAACGGGTATATCTTCGCATAAAATCTAGACAGAAGCATTCTCAGAAAATACTTTGTGATGATTGAGTTTAAATCACAGAGCTGACCATTCCTTTGGATGGAGCAGGTTTGAGACACACTTTTTGTAGAATCTACAAGTGGATATTTGGACCTCTCTGAGGATTTCGTTGGAAACGGGATAACTGCACCTAACTAAACGGAAGCATTCTCAGAAACTGCTTTGTGATGATTGCATTCACCTCACAGAGTTGAACATTCCTATTGATAGAGCAGTTTGGAAACACTCTTGTTGTGGAATGTGCAAGTGGAGATTTGGAGCGCTTTGAGGCCTATGGTAGTAAAGGGAATAGCTTCATAGAAAAACTAGACAGATGCATTCTCAGGAACTTTTTGGTGATGTTTGTATTCAACTCCCAGAGTTGAACTTTCCTTTGGAAAGAGCAGCTATGAAACACTCTTTTTCTAGAATCTGCAAGTGGACGTTTGGAGGGCTTTGTGGTTTGTGGTGGAAAAGGAAATATCTTCACCTAAATACTAGATAGAAGCATTCTCAGAAGCTTCTCTGTGATGACTGCATTCAACTCACGGAGTTGAACACTCCTTTTGAGAGCGCAGTTTTGAAACTCTCTTTCTGTGGCATCTGCAAGGGGACATGTAGACCTCTTTGAAGATTTCGTTGGAAACGGAATCATCTTCACATAAAAACTATACAGAAGCAGTCTCAGAATCTTCTTTGTGATGTTTGCATTCAAATCCCAGAGTTGAACTTTCCTTTCAAAGTTCACGTTTGAAACACTCTTTTTGCAGGATCTACAAGTGGATATTTGGACCACTCTGTGTCCTTCGTTCGAAACGGGTATATCTTCACACGACATCTAGACAGAAGCTTTCTCAGAAAATTCTTTGGGATGATTGAGTGGAACTCACAGAGCTGAACATTCCTTGCGATGTAGCAGTTTAGAAACACACTTTCTGCAGAATCTGCAAGTGCATATTTGGACCTCTCTGAGGAATTCGTTGGAAACGGGATAATTTCAGCTGACTAAACAGAAGCATTCTCAGAACCTTCTTCGTGATGTCTGCATTCAACTCACAGTGTGGAACCTTTCTTTGATAGTTCAGGTTTGAAACACTCTTTTTGTAGAAACTGCAAGGGGATAATTGCACTTCTTTGAGGCCTACCGTAGTAAAGGAAATAACTTCCTATAGAAAGAAGACAGAAGCATTCTCAGAACCCTCTTCGTGATGTTTGCATTCAACTCACAGTGCTGAACCTTTCTTTGATAGTTCAGCTTTGAAACACTCTTCTTGTAGAAACTGCAAGTGGATATTTGGTCCTCTCTGAGGATTTCGTTGGAAACGGGATAAACCGCACAGAACTAAACAGAAGCATTCTCAGAACCTTCTTCGTGATGTTTGCATTCAACTCACAGTGTTGAACCTTTCTTTGATAGTTCAGGTTTGAAACGGTCTTTCTGTAGAAACTGCAAGTAGATATTTGGACCTCTCTGAGGATTTCGTTGGAAACGGGATAAACCGCACAGAACTAAAACAGAAGCATTCACAGAAAACTCTTGGTGACGACTGAGTTTAACTCACAGAGCTGAACATTCCTTTGGATGGAGCAGTTTCGAAACACACTATTTGTAGAATCTGCAAGTGGATATTTGGGCCTCTCTGAGGATTTCGATGGAAACGGGATAAACCGCACAGAACTAAAACAGAAGCATTCTCAGAAACTACTTCGTGATGATTGCATTCAAGTCACAGAGTTGAACATTCCCTTTGACAGAGCAGTTTGGAAACTCTCTTTGTGTAGAATCTGCAAGTGGAGATATGGACCGCTTTGAGGACTATGGTAGTAAAGGAAATAGCTTCATATAAAAGCTAAACAGTAGCATTCTCAGAAACTTCTTTGTGATGCTTGCATTCAACTCACAGAGTTGAAATTTCCTTTCGAGAGAGAAGCTTTGAAACACTCTTTTTCCAGAATCTGCAAGTGGACATTTGGAGGGCTTTGAGGCCTGTGGTGGAAAAGGAATTATCTTCCCGTAAAAGCTAGATAGAAGCATTGTCAGAAACTTCTTTGTGATGATTGCATTCAACTCACAGAGTTGAAGGTTCCTTTTCAAACAGCAGTTTCCAATCACTCTTTCTGTGGAATCTGCAAGTGGATATTTGGACCTATTTTGAAGATTTCGTTGGAAACGGGAGAATCTTCACAGAAAAGCTAAACAGAAGCATTCTCAGAAACTTCTCTGTGATGTTTGTGTTCAACTCCCAGAGTTTCACGTTGCTTTTCATAGAGTAGTTCTGAAACATGCTTTTCGTAGTGTCTGCAAGTGGACATTTGGAGCGCTTTCAGGCCTGTGGTGGAAAACGAATTATGGTCACATAAAAACTGGAGAGAAGCCTTCTCAGAAACTTCTCTGTGATGATTGCATTCAACTCACAGATTTGAACCCTCCTATGGATAGAGCATTGTTGAAACTCTCTTTTTGTGGAATCTGCAAGTGGATATGTGGACCTCTCCGAAGATGTCTTTGGAAACGGGAATATCTTCACATAAAAACTAAACAGAAGCATTCTCAGAAACTTCTTGGTGATGTTTGCATTCAAATCCCAGAGTTGAACCTTCCTTTGATAGTTCAGGTTTGAAACACTCTTTCTGTAGGATCTGCAAGTGGCTATTTGGACCACTCTGTGGCCTTCGTTCGAAACGGGTATATCTTCGCATAAAATCTAGACAGAAGCATTCTCAGAAAATACTTTGTGATGATTGAGTTTAAATCACAGAGCTGACCATTCCTTTGGATGGAGCAGGTTTGAGACACACTTTTTGTAGAATCTACAAGTGGATATTTGGACCTCTCTGAGGATTTCGTTGGAAACGGGATAACTGCACCTAACTAAACGGAAGCATTCTCAGAAACTGCTTTGTGATGATTGCATTCACCTCACAGAGTTGAACATTCCTATTGATAGAGCAGTTTGGAAACACTCTTGTTGTGGAATGTGCAAGTGGAGATTTGGAGCGCTTTGAGGCCTATGGTAGTAAAGGGAATAGCTTCATAGAAAAACTAGACAGATGCATTCTCAGGAACTTTTTGGTGATGTTTGTATTCAACTCCCAGAGTTGAACTTTCCTTTGGAAAGAGCAGCTATGAAACACTCTTTTTCTAGAATCTGCAAGTGGACGTTTGGAGGGCTTTGTGGTTTGTGGTGGAAAAGGAAATATCTTCACCTAAATACTAGATAGAAGCATTCTCAGAAGCTTCTCTGTGATGACTGCATTCAACTCACGGAGTTGAACACTCCTTTTGAGAGCGCAGTTTTGAAACTCTCTTTCTGTGGCATCTGTAAGGGGACATGTAGACCTCTTTGAAGATTTCGTTGGAAACGGAATCATCTTCACATAAAAACTATACAGAAGCAGTCTCAGAATCTTCTTTGTGATGTTTGCATTCAAATCCCAGAGTTGAACTTTCCTTTCAAAGTTCACGTTTGAAACACTCTTTTTGCAGGATCTACAAGTGGATATTTGGACCACTCTGTGTCCTTCGTTCGAAACGGGTATATCTTCACAGGACATCTAGACAGAAGCTTTCTCAGAAAATTCTTTGGGATGATTGAGTGGAACTCACAGAGCTGAACATTCCTTGCGATGTAGCAGTTTAGAAACACACTTTCTGCAGAATCTGCAAGTGCATATTTGGACCTCTCTGAGGAATTCGTTGGAAACGGGATAATTTCAGCTGACTAAACAGAAGCATTCTCAGAACCTTCTTCGTGATGTCTGCATTCAACTCACAGTGTGGAACCTTTCTTTGATAGTTCAGGTTTGAAACACTCTTTTTGTAGAAACTGCAAGGGGATAATTGCACTTCTTTGAGGCCTACCGTAGTAAAGGAAATAACTTCCTATAGAAAGAAGACAGAAGCATTCTCAGAACCCTCTTCGTGATGTTTGCATTCAACTCACAGTGCTGAACCTTTCTTTGATAGTTCAGCTTTGAAACACTCTTCTTGTAGAAACTGCAAGTGGATATTTGGTCCTCTCTGAGGATTTCGTTGGAAACGGGATAAACCGCACAGAACTAAACAGAAGCATTCTCAGAACCTTCTTCGTGATGTTTGCATTCAACTCACAGTGTTGAACCTTTCTTTGATAGTTCAGGTTTGAAACGGTCTTTCTGTAGAAACTGCAAGTAGATATTTGGACCTCTCTGAGGATTTCGTTGGAAACGGGATAAACCGCACAGAACTAAAACAGAAGCATTCACAGAAAACTCTTGGTGACGACTGAGTTTAACTCACAGAGCTGAACATTCCTTTGGATGGAGCAGTTTCGAAACACACTATTTGTAGAATCTGCAAGTGGATATTTGGGCCTCTCTGAGGATTTCGTTGGAAACGGGATAAAACGCACAGAACTAAAACAGAAGCATTCTCAGAAACTACTTTGTGATGATTGCATTCAAGTCACAGAGTTGAACATTCCCTTTGACAGAGCAGTTTGGAAACTCTCTTTGTGTAGAATCTGCAAGTGGAGATATGGACCGCTTTGAGGCCTATGGTAGTAAAGGAAATAGCTTCATATAAAAGCTAGACAGTAGCATTCTCAGAAACTTCTTTGTGATGCTTGCATTCAACTCACAGAGTTGAACTTTCCTTTCGAGAGAGAAGCTTTGAAACACTCTTTTTCCAGAATCTGCAAGTGGACATTTGGAGGGCTTTGAGGCCTGTGGTGGAAAAGGAATTATCTTCCCGTAAAAGCTAGATAGAAGCATTGTCAGAAACTTCTTTGTGATGATTGCATTGAACTCGCAGAGTTGAAGGTTCCTTTTCAAACAGCAGTTTCCAATCACTCTTTCTGTGGAATCTGCAAGTGGATATTTCGACCTCTTTGAACATTTCGTTGGAAACGGGAGAACCTTCACAGAAAAGCTAAACAGAAGCATTCTCAGAAACTTCTCTGTGATGTTTGTGTTCAACTCCCAGAGTTTCACGTTGCTTTTCATAGAGTAGTTCTGAAACATGCTTTTCGTAGTGTCTGCAAGTGGACATTTGGAGCGCTTTCAGGCCTGTGGTGGAAAACGAATTATGGTCACATAAAAACTGGAGAGAAGCCTTCTCAGAAACTTCTCTGTGATGATTGCATTCAACTCACAGAGTTGAACCCTCCTATGGATAGAGCAGTGTTGAAACTCTCTTTTTGTGGAATCTGCAAGTGGATATGTGGACCTCTCCGAAGATGTCTTTGGAAACGGGAATATCTTCACATAAAAACTAAACAGAAGCATTCTCAGAAACTTCTTGGTGATGTTTGCATTCAAATCCCAGAGTTGAACCTTCCTTTGATAGTTCAGGTTTGAAACACTCTTTCTGTAGGATCTGCAAGTGGCTATTTGGACCACTCTGTGGCCTTCGTTCGAAACGGGTATATCTTCGCATAAAATCTAGACAGAAGCATTCTCAGAAAATACTTTGTGATGATTGAGTTTAAATCACAGAGCTGACCATTCCTTTGGATGGAGCAGGTTTGAGACACACTTTTTGTAGAATCTACAAGTGGATATTTGGACCTCTCTGAGGATTTCGTTGGAAACGGGATAACTGCACCTAACTAAACGGAAGCATTCTCAGAAACTGCTTTGTGATGATTGCATTCACCTCACAGAGTTGAACATTCCTATTGATAGAGCAGTTTGGAAACACTCTTGTTGTGGAATGTGCAAGTGGAGATTTGGAGCGCTTTGAGGCCTATGTTAGTAAAGGGAATAGCTTCATAGAAAAACTAGACAGATGCATTCTCAGGAACTTTTTGGTGATGTTTGTATTCAACTCCCAGAGTTGAACTTTCCTTTGGAAAGAGCAGCTATGAAACACTCTTTTTCTAGAATCTGCAAGTGGACGTTTGGAGGGCTTTGTGGTTTGTGGTGGAAAAGGAAATATCTTCACCTAAATACTAGATAGAAGCATTCTCAGAAGCTTCTCTGTGATGACTGCATTCAACTCAGGGAGTTGAACACTCCTTTTGAGAGCGCAGTTTTGAAACTCTCTTTCTGTGGCATCTGCAAGGGGACATGTAGACCTCTTTGAAGATTTCGTTGGAAACGGAATCATCTTCACATAAAAACTATACAGAAGCAGTCTCAGAATCTTCTTTGTGATGTTTGCATTCAAATCCCAGAGTTGAACTTTCCTTTCAAAGTTCACGTTTGAAACACTCTTTTTGCAGGATCTACAAGTGGATATTTGGACCACTCTGTGTCCTTCGTTCGAAACGGGTATATCTTCACATGACATCTAGACAGAAGCTTTCTCAGAAAATTCTTTGGGTTGATTGAGTTGAACTCACAGAGCTGAACATTCCTTGCGATGTAGCAGTTTAGAAACACACTTTCTGCAGAATCTGCAAGTGCATATTTGGACCTCTCTGAGGAATTCGTTGGAAACGGGATAATTTCAGCTGACTAAACAGAAGCATTCTCAGAACCTTCTTCGTGATGTCTGCATTCAACTCACAGTGTGGAACCTTTCTTTGATAGTTCAGGTTTGAAACACTCTTTTTGTAGAAACTGCAAGGGGATAATTGCACTTCTTTGAGGCCTACCGTAGTAAAGGAAATAACTTCCTATAGAAAGAAGACAGAAGCATTCTCAGAACCCTCTTCGTGATGTTTGCATTCAACTCACAGTGCTGAACCTTTCTTTGATAGTTCAGCTTTGAAACACTCTTCTTGTAGAAACTGCAAGTGGATATTTGGTCCTCTCTGAGGATTTCGTTGGAAACGGGATAAACCGCACAGAACTAAACAGAAGCATTCTCAGAACCTTCTTCGTGATGTTTGCATTCAACTCACAGTGTTGAACCTTTCTTTCATAGTTCAGGTTTGAAACGGTCTTTCTGTAGAAACTGCAAGTAGATATTTGGACCTCTCTGAGGATTTCGTTGGAAACGGGATGAACCGCACAGAACTAAAACAGAAGCATTCACAGAAAACTCTTGGTGACGACTGAGTTTAACTCACAGAGCTGAACATTCCTTTGGATGGAGCAGTTTCGAAACACACTATTTGTAGAATGTGCAAGTGGATATTTGGGCCTCTCTGAGGATTTCGTTGGAAACGGGATAAACCGCACAGAACTAAACAGAAGCATTCTCAGAAACTACTTCGTGATGATTGCATTCAAGTCACAGAGTTGAACATTCCCTTTGACAGAGCAGTTTGGAAACTCTCTTTGTGTAGAATCTGCAAGTGGAGATATGGACCGCTTTGAGGACTATGGTAGTAAAGGAAATAGCTTCATATAAAAGCTAAACAGTAGCATTCTCAGAAACTTCTTTGTGATGCTTGCATTCAACTCACAGAGTTGAACTTTCCTTTCGAGAGAGAAGCTTTGAAACACTCTTTTTCCAGAATCTGCAAGTGGACATTTGGAGGGCTTTGAGGCCTGTGGTGGAAAAGGAATTATCTTCCCGTAAAAGCTAGATAGAAGCATTGTCAGAAACTTCTTTGTGATGATTGCATTCAACTCACAGAGTTGAAGGTTCCTTTTCAAACAGCAGTTTCCAATCACTCTTTCTGTGGAATCTGCAAGTGGATATTTGGGCCTCTCTGAGGATTTCGTTGGAAACGGGATAAAACGCACAGAACTAAAACAGAAGCATTCTCAGAAACTTCTCTGTGATGTTTGTGTTCAACTCCCAGACTTTCACATTGCTTTTCATAGAGTAGTTCTGAAACATGCTTTTCGTAGTGTCTACAAGTGGACATTTGGAGCGCTTCCAGTCCTGTGGTGGAAAACGAATTATGGTCACATAAAAACTGGAGAGAAGCCTTCTCAGAAACTTCTCTGTGATGATTGCATTCAACTCACAGAGTTGAACCCTCCTATGGATAGAGCAGTGTTGAAACTCTCTTTTTGTGGAATCTGCAAGCGGATATGTGGACCTCTCCGAAGATGTCTTTGGCAACGGGAATATCTTCACATAAAAACTAAACAGAAGCATTCTCAGAAACTTCTTCGTGATGTTTGCATTCAAATCCCAGAGTTGAACCTTCCTTTGAGAGTTCAGGTTTGAAACACTCTTTTTGTAGGATCTGCAAGTGGATATTTGGACCACTCTGTGGCCTTCGTTCGAAACGGGTACATCTTCGCATAAAATCTAGACAGAAGCATTCTCAGAAAATACTTTTTGATGACTGAGTTGAACTCACAGAGCTGAACATTCCTTTGGATGGAGCAGGTTTGAGACACACTTTTTGTAGAATCTACAAGTGGATATTTGGACCTCTCTGAGGATTTCGTTGGAAACGGGATAACTGCACCTAACTAAACGGAAGCATTCTCAGAAACTGCTTTGTCATGATTGCATTCACCTCACAGAGTTGAACATTCCTATTGATAGAGCAGTTTGGAAACACTCTTGTTGTGGAATGTGCAAGTGGAGATTTGGAGCGCTTTGAGGCCTATGGTAGTAAAGGGAATAGCTTCATAGAAAAACTAGACAGATGCATTCTCAGGAACTTTTTGGTGATGTTTGTATTCAACTCCCAGAGTTGAACTTTCCTTTGGAAAGAGCAGCTATGAAACACTCTTTTTCTAGAATCTGCAAGTGGACGTTTGTAGGGCTTTGTGGTTTGTGGTGGAAAAGGAAATATCTTCACCTAAATACTAGATAGAAGCATTCTCAGAAGCTTCTCTGTGATGACTGCATTCAACTCACGGAGTTGAACACTCCTTTTGAGAGCGCAGTTTTGAAACTCTCTTTCTGTGGCATCTGCAAGGGGACATGTAGACCTCTTTGAAGATTTCGTTGGAAACGGAATCATCTTCACATAAAAACTATACAGAAGCAGTCTCAGAATCTTCTTTGTGATGTTTGCATTCAAATCCCCGAGTTGAACTTTCCTTTCAAAGTTCACGTTTGAAACACTCTTTTTGCAGGATCTACAAGTGGATATTTGGACCACTCTGTGTCCTTCGTTCGAAACGGGTATATCTTCACATGACATCTAGACAGAAGCTTTCTCAGAAAATTCTTTGGGATGATTGAGTGGAACTCACAGAGCTGAACATTCCTTGCGATGGAGCAGTTTAGAAACACACTTTCTGCAGAATCTGCAAGTGCATATTTGGACCTCTCTGAGGAATTCGTTGGAAACGGGATAATTTCAGCTGACTAAACAGAAGCATTCTCAGAACCTTCTTCGTGATGTCTGCATTCAACTCACAGTGTGGAACCTTTCTTTGATAGTTCAGGTTTGAAACACTCTTTTTGTAGAAACTGCAAGGGGATAATTGCACTTCTTTGAGGCCTACCGTAGTAAAGGAAATAACTTCCTATAGAAAGAAGACAGAAGCATTCTCAGAACCTTCTTCGTGATGTTTGCATTCAACTCACAGTGCTGAACCTTTCTTTGATAGTTCAGTTTTGAAACACTCTTTTTGTAGAAACTGCAAGTGGATATTTGGTGCTCTCTGAGGATTTCGTTGGAAACGGGATAAACCGCACAGAACTAAACAGAAGCATTCACAGAAAACTCTTGGTGACGACTGAGTTTAACTCACAGAGCTGAACATTCCTTTGGATGGAGCAGTTTCGAAACACACTCTTTGTAGAATCTGCAAGTGGATATTTGGACCTCTCTGAGGATTTCGTTGGAAACGGGATAAACCGCACAGAACTAAAACAGAAGCATTCACAGAAAACTCTTGGTGACGACTGAGTTTAACTCACAGAGCTGAACATTCCTTTGGATGGAGCAGTTTCGAAACACACTATTTGTAGAATGTGCAAGTGGATATTTAGGCCTCTCTGAGGATTTCGTTGGAAACGGGATAAACCGCACAGAACTAAACAGAAAGCATTCTCAGAAACTATTTTGTGATGATTGCATTCAAGTCACAGAGTTGAACATTCCCTTTGACAGAGCAGTTTGGAAACTCTCTTTGTGTAGAATCTGCAAGTGGAGATATGGACCGCTTTGAGGCCTATGGTAGTAAAGGAAATAGCTTCATATAAAAGCTAGACAGAGCATTCTCAGAAACTTCTTTGTGATGCTTGCATTCAACTCACAGAGTTGAACTTTCCTTTCGAGAGAGAAGCTTTGAAACACTCTTTTTCCAGAATCTGCAAGTGGATATTTGGAGGGCTTTGAGGCCTGTGGTGGAAAAGGAATTATCTTCCCGTAAAAGCTAGATAGAAGCATTGTCAGAAACTTCTTTGTGATGATTGCATTCAACTCACAGAGTTGAAGGTTCCTTTTCAAAGAGCAGTTTCCAATCACTCTTTCTGTGGAATCTGCAAGTGGATATTTGGACCTATTTTGAAGATTTCGTTGGAAACGGGAGAATCTTCACAGGAAAGCTAAACAGAAGCATTCTCAGAAACTTCTCTGTGATGTTTGTGTTCAACTCCCAGAGTTTCACATTGCTTTTCATAGAGTAGTTCTGAAACATGCTTTTCGTAGTGTCTACAAGTGGACATTTGGAGCGCTTTCAGGCCTGTGGTGGAAAACGAATTATGGTCACATAAAAACTGGAGAGAAGCCTTCTCAGAAACTTCTCTGTGATGATTGCATTCAACTCACAGAGTTGAACCCTCCTATGGATAGAGCAGTGTTGAAACTCTCTTTTTGTGGAATCTGCAAGTGGATATGTGGACCTCTCCGAAGATGTCTTTGGAAACGGGAATATCTTCACATAAAAACTAAACAGAAGCATTCTCAGAAACTTCTTGGTGATGTTTGCATTCAAATCCCAGAGTTGAACCTTCCTTTGATAGTTCAGGTTTGAAACACTCTTTCTGTAGGATCTGCAAGTGGCTATTTGGACCACTCTGTGGCCTTCGTTCGAAACGGGTATATCTTCGCATAAAATCTAGACAGAAGCATTCTCAGAAAATACTTTGTGATGATTGAGTTTAAATCACAGAGCTGACCATTCCTTTGGATGGAGCAGGTTTGAGACACACTTTTTGTAGAATCTACAAGTGGATATTTGGACCTCTCTGAGGATTTCGTTGGAAACGGGATAACTGCACCTAACTAAACGGAAGCATTCTCAGAAACTGCTTTGTGATGATTGCATTCACCTCACAGAGTTGAACATTCCTATTGATAGAGCAGTTTGGAAACACTCTTGTTGTGGAATGTGCAAGTGGAGATTTGGAGCGCTTTGAGGCCTATGGTAGTAAAGGGAATAGCTTCATAGAAAAACTAGACAGATGCATTCTCAGGAACTTTTTGGTGATGTTTGTATTCAACTCCCAGAGTTGAACTTTCCTTTGGAAAGAGCAGCTATGAAACACTCTTTTTCTAGAATCTGCAAGTGGACGTTTGGAGGGCTTTGTGGTTTGTGGTGGAAAAGGAAATATCTTCACCTAAATACTAGATAGAAGCATTCTCAGAAGCTTCTCTGTGATGACTGCATTCAACTCACGGAGTTGAACACTCCTTTTGAGAGCGCAGTTTTGAAACTCTCTTTCTGTGGCATCTGCAAGGGGACATGTAGACCTCTTTGAAGATTTCGTTGGAAACGGAATCATCTTCACATAAAAACTATACAGAAGCAGTCTCAGAATCTTCTTTGTGGTGTTTGCATTCAAATCCCAGAGTTGAACTTTCCTTTCAAAGTTCACGTTTGAAACACTCTTTTTGCAGGATCTACAAGTGGATATTTGGACCACTCTGTGTCCTTCGTTCGAAACGGGTATATCTTCACATGACATCTAGACAGAAGCTTTCTCAGAAAATTCTTTGGGATGATTGAGTTGAACTCAGAGAGCTGAACATTCCTTGCGATGTAGCAGTTTAGAAACACACTTTCTGCAGAATCTGCAAGTGCATATTTGGACCTCTCTGAGGAATTCGTTGGAAACGGGATAATTTCAGCTGACTAAACCGAAGCATTCTCAGAACCTTCTTCGTGATGTCTGCATTCAACTCACAGTGTGGAACCTTTCTTTGATAGTTCAGGTTTGAAACACTCTTTTTGTAGAAACTGCAAGGGGATAATTGCACTTCTTTGAGGCCTACCGTAGTAAAGGAAATAACTTCCTATAAAAAGAAGACAGAAGCATTCTCAGAACCCTCTTCGTGATGTTTGCATTCAACTCACAGTGCTGAACCTTTCTTTGATAGTTCAGCTTTGAAACACTCTTCTTGTAGAAACTGCAAGTGGATATTTGGTCCTCTCTGAGGATTTCGTTGGAAACGGGATAAACCGCACAGAACTAAACAGAAGCATTCTCAGAACCTTCTTCGTGATGTTTGCATTCAAATCACAGTGTTGAACCTTTCTTTGATAGTTCAGGTTTGAAACGGTCTTTCTGTAGAAACTGCAAGTAGATATTTGGACCTCTCTGAGGATTTCGTTGGAAACGGGATAAACCGCACAGAACTAAAACAGAAGCATTCAGAGAAAACTCTTGGTGACGACTGAGTTTAACTCACAGAGCTGAACATTTCCTTTGGATGGAGCAGTTTCGAAACACACTATTTGTAGAATGTGCAAGTGGATATGTGGGCCTCTCTGAGGATTTCGTTGGAAACGGGATAAACCGCACAGAACTAAACGGAAGCATTCTCAGAAACTACTTTGTGATGATTGCATTCAAGTCACAGAGTTGAACATTCCCTTTGACAGAGCAGTTTGGAAACTCTCTTTGTGTAGAATCTGCAAGTGGAGATATGGACCGCTTTGAGGCCTATGGTAGTAAAGGAAATAGCTTCATATAAAAGCTAGACAGTAGCATTCTCAGAAACTTCATTGTGATGCTTGCATTCAACTCACAGAGTTGAACTTTCCTTTCGAGAGAGAAGCTTTGAAACACTCTTTTTCCAGAATCTTCAAGTGGACATTTGGAGGGCTTTGAGGCCTGTGGTGGAAAAGGAATTATCTTCCCGTAAAAGCTAGATAGAAGCATTGTCAGAAACTTCTTTGTGATGATTGCATTCAACTCACAGAGTTGAAGGTTCCTTTTCAAACAGCAGTTTCCAATCACTCTTTCTGTGGAATCTGCAAGTGGATATTTGGGCCTCTCTGAGGATTTCGTTGGAAACGGGATAAAACGCACAGAACTAAAACAGAAGCATTCTCAGAAACTTCTCTGTGATGTTTGTGTTCAACTCCCAGAGTTTCACATTGCTTTTCATAGAGTAGTTCTGAAACATGCTTTTCGTAGTGTCTACAAGTGGACATTTGGAGCGCTTTCAGGCCTGTGGTGGAAAACGAATTATGGTCACATAAAAACTGGAGAGAAGCCTTCTCAGAAACTTCTCTGTGATGATTGCATTCAACTCACAGAGTTGAACCCTCCTATGGGTAGAGCAGTGTTGAAACTCTCTTTTTGTGGAATCTGCAAGTGGATATGTGGACCTCTCCGAAGATGTCTTTGGAAACGGGAATATCTTCACATAAAAACTAAACAGAAGCATTCTCAGAAACTTCTTGGTGATGTTTGCATTCAAATCCCAGAGTTGAACCTTCCTTTGATAGTTCAGGTTTGAAACACTCTTTCTGTAGGATCTGCAAGTGGCTATTTGGACCACTCTGTGGCCTTCGTTCGAAACGGGTATATCTTCGCATAAAATCTAGACAGAAGCATTCTCAGAAAATACTTTGTGATGATTGAGTTTAAATCACAGAGCTGACCATTCCTTTGGATGGAGCAGGTTTGAGACACACTTTTTGTAGAATCTACAAGTGGATATTTGGACCTCTCTGAGGATTTCGTTGGAAACGGGATAACTGCACCTAACTAAACGGAAGCATTCTCAGAAACTGCTTTGTGATGATTGCATTCACCTCACAGAGTTGAACATTCCTATTGATAGAGCAGTTTGGAAACACTCTTGTTGTGGAATGTGCAAGTGGAGATTTGGAGCGCTTTGAGGCCTATGGTAGTAAAGGGAATAGCTTCATAGAAAAACTAGACAGATGCATTCTCAGGAACTTTTTGGTGATGTTTGTATTCAACTCCCAGAGTTGAACTTTCCTTTGGAAAGAGCAGCTATGAAACACTCTTTTTCTAGAATCTGCAAGTGGACGTTTGGAGGGCTTTGTGGTTTGTGGTGGAAAAGGAAATATCTTCACCTAAATACTAGATAGAAGCATTCTCAGAAGCTTCTCTGTGATGACTGCATTCAACTCACGGAGTTGAACACTCCTTTTGAGAGCGCAGTTTTGAAACTCTCTTTCTGTGGCATCTGCAAGGGGACATGTAGACCTCTTTGAAGATTTCGTTGGAAACGGAATCATCTTCACATAAAAACTATACAGAAGCAGTCTCAGAATCTTCTTTGTGATGTTTGCATTCAAATCCCAGAGTTGAACTTTCCTTTCAAAGTTCACGTTTGAAACACTCTTTTTGCAGGATCTACAAGTGGATATTTGGACCACTCTGTGTCCTTCGTTCGAAACGGGTATATCTTCACACGACATCTAGACAGAAGCTTTCTCAGAAAATTCTTTGGGATGATTGAGTGGAACTCACAGAGCTGAACATTCCTTGCGATGTAGCAGTTTAGAAACACACTTTCTGCAGAATCTGCAAGTGCATATTTGGACCTCTCTGAGGAATTCGTTGGAAACGGGATAATTTCAGCTGACTAAACAGAAGCATTCTCAGAACCTTCTTCGTGATGTCTGCATTCAACTCACAGTGTGGAACCTTTCTTTGATAGTTCAGGTTTGAAACACTCTTTTTGTAGAAACTGCAAGGGGATAATTGCACTTCTTTGAGGCCTACCGTAGTAAAGGAAATAACTTCCTATAGAAAGAAGACAGAAGAATTCTCAGAGCCCTCTTCGTGATGTTTGCATTCAACTCACAGTGCTGAACCTTTCTTTGATAGTGCAGCTTCGAAACACTCTTTTTGTAGAAACTGCAAGTGGATGTTTGGTCCTCTCTGAGGATTTCGTTGGAAACGGGATAAACCGCACAGAACTAAAACAGAAGCATTCTCAGAACCTTCTTCGTGATGTTTGCATTCAACTCACAGTGTTGAACCTTTCTTTGATAGTTCAGGTTTGAAACGGTCTTTCTGTAGAAACTGCAAGTAGATATTTGGACCTCTCTGAGGATTTCGTTGGAAACGGGATAACCCGCACAGAACTAAAACAGAAGCATTCACAGAAAACTCTTGGTGACGACTGAGTTTAACTCACAGAGCTGAACATTCCTTTGGATGGAGCAGTTTCGAAACACACTATTTGTAGAATCTGCAAGTGGATATTTGGGCCTCTCTGAGGATTTCGTTGGAAACGGGATAAAACGCACAGAACTAAAACAGAAGCATTCTCAGAAACTACTTTGTGATGATTGCATTCAAGTCACAGAGTTGAACATTCCCTTTGACAGAGCAGTTTGGAAACTCTCTTTGTGTAGAATCTGCAAGTGGAGATATGGACCGCTTTGAGGCCTATGGTAGTAAAGGAAATAGCTTCATATAAAAGCTAGACAGTAGCATTCTCAGAAACTTCTTTGTGATGCTTGCATTCAACTCACAGAGTTGAACTTTCCTTTCGAGAGAGAAGCTTTGAAACACTCTTTTTCCAGAATGTGCAAGTGGACATTTGGGGAGCTTTGAGGCCTGTGGTGGAAAAGGAATTATCTTCCCGTAAAAGCTAGATAGAAGCATTGTCAGAAACTTCTTTGTGATGATTGCATTCAACTCACAGAGTTGAAGGTTCCTTTTCAAACAGCAGTTTCCAATCACTCTTTCTGTGGAATCTGCAAGTGGATATTTGGGCCTCTCTGAGGATTTCGTTGGAAACGGGATAAAACGCACAGAACTAAAACAGAAGCATTCTCAGAAACTTCTCTGTGATGTTTGTGTTCAACTCCCAGAGTTTCACATTGCTTTTCATAGAGTAGTTCTGAAACATGCTTTTCGTAGTGTCTACAAGTGGACATTTGGAGCGCTTTCAGGCCTGTGGTGGAAAACGAATTATGGTCACATAAAAACTGGAGAGAAGCCTTCTCAGAAACTTCTATGTGATGATTGCATTCAACTCACAGAGTTGAACCCTCCTATGGATAGAGCAGTGTTGAAACTCTCTTTTTGTGGAATCTGCAAGTGGATATGTGGACCTCTCCGAAGATGTCTTTGGCAACGGGAATATCTTCACATAAAAACTAAACAGAAGCATTCTCAGAAACTTCTTGGTGATGTTTGCATTCAAATCCCAGAGTTGAACCTTCCTTTGATAGTTCAGGTTTGAAACACTCTTTTTGTAGGATCTGCAAGTGGATATTTGGACCACTCTGTGGCCTTCGTTCGAAACGGGTATATCTTCGCATAAAATCTAGACAGAAGCATTCTCAGAAAATACTTTGTGATGATTGAGTTGAACTCACAGAGCTGAACATTCCTTTGGATGGAGCAGGTTTGAGACACACTTTTTGTAGAACCTACAAGTGGATATTTGGACCTCTCTGAGGATTTCGTTGGAAACGGGATAACTGCACCTAACTAAACGGAAGCATTCTCAGAAACTGCTTTGTGATGATTGCATTCACCTCACAGAGTTGAACATTCCTATTGATAGAGCAGTTTGGAAACACTCTTGTTGTGGAATGTGCAAGTGGAGATTTGGAGCGCTTTGAGGCCTATGGTAGTAAAGGGAATAGCTTCATAGAAAAACTAGACAGATGCATTCTCAGGAACTTTTTGGTGATGTTTGTATTCAACTCCCAGAGTTGAACTTTCCTTTGGAAAGAGCAGCTATGAAACACTCTTTTTCTAGAATCTGCAAGTGGACGTTTGGAGGGCTTTGTGGTTTGTGGTGGAAAAGGAAATATCTTCACCTAAATACTAGATAGAAGCATTCTCAGAAGCTTCTCTGTGATGACTGCATTCAACTCACGGATTTGAACACTCCTTTTGAGAGCGCAGTTTTGAAACTCTGTTTCTGTGGCATCTGCAAGGGGACATGTAGACCTCTTTGAAGATTTCGTTGGAAACGGAATCATCTTCACATAAAAACTATACAGAAGCAGTCTCAGAATCTTCTTTGTGATGTTTGCATTCAAATCCCAGAGTTGAACTTTCCTTTCAAAGTTCACGTTTGAAACACTCTTTTTGCAGGATCTACAAGTGGATATTTGGACCACTCTGTGTCCTTCGTTTGAAACGGGTGTATCTTCACATGACATCTAGACAGAAGCTTTCTCAGAAAATTCTTTGGGATGATAGAGTGGAACTCACAGAGCTGAACATTCCTTGCAATGTAGCAGTTTAGAAACACACTTTCTGCAGAATCTGCAAGTGCATATTTGGACCTCTCTGAGGAATTCGTTGGAAACGGGATAATTTCAGCTGACTAAACAGAAGCATTCTCAGAACCTTCTTCGTGATGTCTGCATTCAACTCACAGTGTGGAACCCTTTCTTTGATAGTTCAGGTTTGAAACACTCTTTTTGTAGAAACTGCAAGGGGATAATTGCACTTCTTTGAGGCCTACCGTAGTAAAGGAAATAACTTCCTATAGAAAGAAGACAGAAGCATTCTCAGAGCCCTCTTCGTGATGTTTGCATTCAACTCACAGTGCTGAACCTTTCTTTGATAGTGCAGCTTTGAAACACTCTTCTTGTAGAAACTGCAAGTGGATATTTGGTCCTCTCTGAGGATTTCGTTGGAAACGGGATAAACCGCACAGAACTAAACAGAAGCATTCACAGAAAACTCTTGGTGACGACTGAGTTTAACTCACAGAGCTGAACATTCCTTTGGATGGAGCAGTTTCGAAACACACTATTTGTAGAATCTGCAAGTGGATATTTGGGCCTCTCTGAGGATTTCGTTGGAAACGGGATAAAACGCACAGAAGTAAAACAGAAGCATTCTCAGAAACTACTTTGTGATGATTGCATTCAAGTCACAGAGTTGAACATTCCGTTTGACAGAGCAGTTTGGAAACTCTCTTTGTGTAGAATCTGCAAGTGGAGATATGGACCGCTTTGAGGCCTATGGTAGTAAAGGAAATAGCTTCATATAAAACCTAGACAGTAGCATTCTCAGAAACTTCTTTGTGATGCTTGCATTCAACTCACAGAGTTGAACTTTCCTTTCGAGAGAGAAGCTTTGAAACACTCTTTTTCCAGAATGTGCAAGTGGAGATTTGGAGGGCTTTGAGGCCTGTGGTGGAAAAGGAATTATCTTCCCGTAAAAGCTAGATAGAAGCATTGTCAGAAACTTCTTTGTGATGATTGCATACAAGTCACAGAGTTGAAGGTTCCTTTTCAAAGAGCAGTTTCCAATCACTCTTTCTGTGGAATCTGCAAGTGGATATTTGGACCTCTTTGAAGATTTCGTTGGAAACGGGAGAATCTTCACAGAAAAGCTAAACAGAAGCATTCTCAGAAACTTCTCTGTGATGTTTGTGTTCAACTCCCAGAGTTTCACATTGCTTCTCATAGAGTAGTTCTGAAACATGCTTTTCGTAGTGTCTGCAAGTGGACATTTGGAGCGCTTTCAGGCCTGTGGTGGAAAACGAATTATGGTCACATAAAAACTGGAGAGAAGCCTTCTCAGAAACTTCTCTGTGATGATTGCATTCAACTCACAGAGTTGAACCCTCCTATGGATAGAGCAGTGTTGAAACTCTCTTTTTGTGGAATCTGCAAGCGGATATGTGGACCTCTCCGAAGATGTCTTTGGCAACGGGAATATCTTCACATAAAAACTAAACAGAAGCATTCTCAGAAACTTCTTGGTGATGTTTGCATTCAAATCCCAGAGTTGAACCTTCCTTTGAGAGTTCAGGTTTGAAACACTCTTTTTGTAGGATCTGCAAGTGGATATTTGGACCACTCTGTGGCCTTCGTTCGAAACGGGTACATCTTCGCATAAAATCTAGACAGAAGCATTCTCAGAAAATACTTTGTGATGATTGAGTTTAAATCACAGAGCTGACCATTCCTTTGGATGGAGCAGGTTTGAGACACACTTTTTGTAGAATCTACAAGTGGATATTTGGACCTCTCTGAGGATTTCGTTGGAAACGGGATAACTGCACCTAACTAAACGGAAGCATTCTCAGAAACTGCTTTGTGATGATTGCATTCACCTCACAGAGTTGAACATTCCTATTGATAGAGCAGTTTGGAAACACTCTTGTTGCGGAATGTGCAAGTGGAGATTTGGAGCGCTTTGAGGCCTGTGGTAGTAAAGGGAATAGCTTCATAGAAAAACTAGACAGATGCATTCTCAGGAACTTTTTGGTGATGTTTGTATTCAACTCCCAGAGTTGAACTTTCCTTTGGAAAGAGCAGCTATGAAACACTCTTTTTCTAGAATCTGCAAGTGGACGTTTGGAGGGCTTTGTGGTTTGTGGTGGAAAAGGAAATATCTTCACCTAAATACTAGATAGAAGCATTCTCAGAAGCTTCTCTGTGATGACTGCATTCAACTCACGGAGTTGAACACTCCTTTTGAGAGCGCAGTTTTGAAACTCTCTTTCTGTGGCATCTGCAAGGGGACATGTAGACCTCTTTGAAGATTTCGTTGGAAACGGAATCATCTTCACATAAAAACTATACAGAAGCAGTCTCAGAATCTTCTTTGTGATGTTTGCATTCAAATCCCAGAGTTGAACTTTCCTTTCAAAGTTCACGTTTGAAACACTCTTTTTGCAGGATCTACAAGTGGATATTTGGACCACTCTGTGTCCTTCGTTCGAAACGGGTATATCTTCACACGACATCTAGACAGAAGCTTTCTCAGAAAATTCTTTGGGATGATTGAGTGGAACTCACAGAGCTGAACATTCCTTGCGATGTAGCAGTTTAGAAACACACTTTCTGCAGAATCTGCAAGTGCATATTTGGACCTCTCTGAGGAATTCGTTGGAAACGGGATAATTTCAGCTGACTAAACAGAAGCATTCTCAGAACCTTCTTCGTGATGTCTGCATTCAACTCACAGTGTGGAACCTTTCTTTGATAGTTCAGGTTTGAAACACTCTTTTTGTAGAAACTGCAAGGGGATAATTGCACTTCTTTGAGGCCTACCGTAGTAAAGGAAATAACTTCCTATAGAAAGAAGACAGAAGAATTCTCAGAGCCCTCTTCGTGATGTTTGCATTCAACTCACAGTGCTGAACCTTTCTTTGATAGTGCAGCTTTGAAACACTCTTTTTGTAGAAACTGCAAGTGGATGTTTGGTCCTCTCTGAGGATTTCGTTGGAAACGGGATAAACCGCACAGAACTAAAACAGAAGCATTCTCAGAACCTTCTTCGTGATGTTTGCATTCAACTCACAGTGTTGAACCTTTCTTTGATAGTTCAGGTTTGAAACGGTCTTTCTGCAGAAACTGCAAGTAGATATTTGGACCGCTCTGAGGATTTCGTTGGAAACGGGATAACCCGCACAGAACTAAAACAGAAGCATTCACAGAAAACTCTTGGTGACGACTGAGTTTAACTCACAGAGCTGAACATTCCTTTGGATGGAGCAGTTTCGAAACACACTATTTGTAGAATCTGCAAGTGGATATTTGGGCCTCTCTGAGGATTTCGTTGGAAACGGGATAAACCGCACAGAACTAAAACAGAAGCATTCTCAGAAACTACTTTGTGATGATTGCATTCAAGTCACAGAGTTGAACATTCCCTTTGACAGAGCAGTTTGGAAACTCTCTTTGTGTAGAATCTGCAAGTGGAGATATGGACCGCTTTGAGGCCTATGGTAGTAAAGGAAATACCTTCATATAAAAGCTAGACAGTAGCATTCTCAGAAACTTCTTTGTGATGCTTGCATTCAACTCACAGAGTTGAACTTTCCTTTCGAGAGAGAAGCTTTGAAACACTCTTTTTCCAGAATGTGCAAGTGGACATTTGGAGGGCTTTGAGGCCTGTGGTGGAAAAGGAATTATCTTCCCGTGAAAGCTAGATAGAAGCATTGTCAGAAACTTCTTTGTGATGATTGCATTCAACTCACAGAGTTGAAGGTTCCTTTTCAAACAGCAGTTTCCAATCACTCTTTCTGTGGAATCTGCAAGTGGATATTTCGACCTCTTTGAAGATTTCGTTGGAAACGGGAGAACATTCACAGAAAAGCTAAACAGAAGCATTCTCAGAAACTTCTCTGTGATGTTTGTGTTCAACTCCCAGAGTTTCACGTTGCTTTTCATAGAGTAGTTCTGAAACATGCTTTTCGTAGTGTCTGCAAGTGGACATTTGGAGCGCTTTCAGGCCTGTGGTGGAAAACGAATTATGGTCACATAAAAACTGGAGAGAAGCCTTCTCAGAAACTTCTCTGTGATGATTGCATTCAACTCACAGAGTTGAACCCTCCTATGGATAGAGCAGTGTTGAAACTCTCTTTTTGTGGAATCTGCAAGTGGATATGTGGACCTCTCCGAAGATGTCTTTGGAAACGGGAATATCTTCACATAAAAACTAAACAGAAGCATTCTCAGAAACTTCTTGGTGATGTTTGCATTCAAATCCCAGAGTTGAACCTTCCTTTGATAGTTCAGGTTTGAAACACTCTTTCTGTAGGATCTGCAAGTGGCTATTTGGACCACTCTGTGGCCTTCGTTCGAAACGGGTATATCTTCGCATAAAATCTAGACAGAAGCATTCTCAGAAAATACTTTGTGATGATTGAGTTTAAATCACAGAGCTGAACATTCCTTTGGATGGAGCAGGTTTGAGACACACTTTTTGTAGAATCTACAAGTGGATATTTGGACCTCTCTGAGGATTTCGTTGGAAACGGGATAACTGCACCTAACTAAACGGAAGCATTCTCAGAAACTGCTTTGTGATGATTGCATTCACCTCACAGAGTTGAACATTCCTATTGATAGAGCAGTTTGGAAACACTCTTGTTGTGGAATGTGCAAGTGGAGATTTGGAGCGCTTTGAGGCCTATGGTAGTAAAGGGAATAGCTTCATAGAAAAACTAGACAGATGCATTCTCAGGAACTTTTTGGTGATGTTTGTATTCAACTCCCAGAGTTGAACTTTCCTTTGGAAAGAGCAGCTATGAAACACTCTTTTTCTAGAATCTGCAAGTGGACGTTTGGAGGGCTTTGTGGTTTGTGGTGGAAAAGGAAATATCTTCACCTAAATACTAGATAGAAGCATTCTCAGAAGCTTCTCTGTGATGACTGCATTCAACTCACGGAGTTGAACACTCCTTTTGAGAGCGCAGTTTTGAAACTCTCTTTCTGTGGCATCTGCAAGGGGACATGTAGACCTCTTTGAAGATTTCGTTGGAAACGGAATCATCTTCACATAAAAACTATACAGAAGCAGTCTCAGAATCTTCTTTGTGATGTTTGCATTCAAATCCCAGAGTTGAACTTTCCTTTCAAAGTTCACGTTTGAAACACTCTTTTTGCAGGATCTACAAGTGGATATTTGGACCACTCTGTGTCCTTCGTTCGAAACGGGTATATCTTCACAGGACATCTAGACAGAAGCTTTCTCAGAAAATTCTTTGGGATGATTGAGTGGAACTCACAGAGCTGAACATTCCTTGCGATGTAGCAGTTTAGAAACACACTTTCTGCAGAATCTGCAAGTGCATATTTGGACCTCTCCGAGGAATTCGTTGGAAACGGGATAATTTCAGCTGACTAAACAGAAGCATTCTCAGAACCTTCTTCGTGATGTCTGCATTCAACTCACAGTGTGGAACCTTTCTTTGATAGTTCAGGTTTGAAACACTCTTTTTGTAGAAACTGCAAGGGGATAATTGCACTTCTTTGAGGCCTACCGTAGTAAAGGAAATAACTTCCTATAGAAAGAAGACAGAAGCATTCTCAGAACCCTCTTCGTGATGTTTGCATTCAACTCACAGTGCTGAACCTTTCTTTGATAGTTCAGCTTTGAAACACTCTTTTTGTAGAAACTGCAAGTGGATATTTGGTCCTCTCTGAGCATTTCGTTGGAAACGGGATAAACTGCACAGAACTAAACAGAAGCATTCTCAGAACCTTCTTCGTGATGTTTGCATTCAACTCACAGTGTTGAACCTTTCTTTGATAGTTCAGGTTGGAAACGGTCTTTCTGTAGAAACTGCAAGTAGATATTTGGACCTCTCTGAGGATTTCGTTGGAAACGGGATAAACCGCACAGAACTAAAACAGAAGCATTCACAGAAAACTCTTGGTGACGACTGAGTTTAACTCACAGAGCTGAACATTCCTTTGGATGGAGCAGTTTCAAAACACACTATTTGTAGAATCTGCAAGTGGATATGTGGGCCTCTCTGAGGATTTCGTTGGAAACGGGATAAACCGCACAGAACTAAAACAGAAGCATTCTCAGAAACTACTTTGTGATGATTGCATTCAAGTCACAGAGTTGAACATTCCCTTTGACAGGGCAGTTTGGAAACTCTCTTTGTGTAGAATCTGCAAGTGGAGATATGGACCGCTTTGAGGCCTATGGTAGTAAAGGAAATAGCTTCATATAAAAGCTAGACAGTAGCATTCTCAGAAACTTCTTTGTGATGCTTGTATTCAACTCACAGAGTTGAACTTTCCTTTCGAGAGAGAAGCTTTGAAACACTCTTTTTCCAGAATCTGCAAGTGGACATTTGGAGGGCTTTGAGGCCTGTGGTGGAAAATGAATTATCTTCCCGTATAAGCTAGATAGAAGCATTGTCAGAAACTTCTTTGTGATGATTGCATTCAACTCACAGAGTTGAAGGTTCCTTTTCAAACAGCAGTTTCCAATCACTCTTTCTGTGGAATCTGCAAGTGGATATTTGGGCCTCTCTGAGGATTTCGTTGGAAACGGGATAAAACGCACAGAACTAAAACAGAAGCATTCTCAGAAACTTCTCTGTGATGTTTGTGTTCAACTCCCAGAGTTTCACATTGCTTTTCATAGAGTAGTTCTGAAACATGCTTTTCGTAGTGTCTGCAAGTGGACATTTGGAGCGCTTTCAGGCCTGTGGTGGAAAACGAATTATGGTCACATAAAAACTGGAGAGAAGCCTTCTCAGAAACTTCTCTGTGATGATTGCATTCAACTCACAGAGTTGAACCCTCCTATGGATAGAGCAGTGTTGAAACTCTCTTTTTGTGGAATCTGCAAGTGGATATGTGGACCTCTCCGAAGATGTCTTTGGAAACGGGAATATCTTCACATAAAAACTAAACAGAAGCATTCTCAGAAACTTCTTGGTGATGTTTGCATTCAAATCCCAGAGTTGAACCTTCCTTTGATAGTTCAGGTTTGAAACACTCTTTCTGTAGGATCTGCAAGTGGCTATTTGGACCACTCTGTGGCCTTCGTTCGAAACGGGTATATCTTCGCATAAAATCTAGACAGAAGCATTCTCAGAAAATACTTTGTGATGATTGAGTTTAAATCACAGAGCTGACCATTCCTTTGGATGGAGCAGGTTTGAGACACACTTTTTGTAGAATCTACAAGTGGATATTTGGACCTCTCTGAGGATTTCGTTGGAAACGGGATAACTGCACCTAACTAAACGGAAGCATTCTCAGAAACTGCTTTGTGATGATTGCATTCACCTCACAGAGTTGACCATTCCTATTGATAGAGCAGTTTGGAAACACTCTTGTTGTGGAATGTGCAAGTGGAGATTTGGAGCGCTTTGAGGCCTATGGTAGTAAAGGGAATAGCTTCATAGAAAAACTAGACAGAATGCATTCTCAGGAACTTTTTGGTGATGTTTGTATTCAACTCCCAGAGTTGAACTTTCCTTTGGAAAGAGCAGCTATGAAACACTGTTTTTCTAGAATCTGCAAGTGGACGTTTGGAGGGCTTTGTGGTTTGTGGTGGAAAAGGAAATATCTTCACCTAAATACTAGATAGAAGCATTCTCAGAAGCTTCTCTGTGATGACTGCATTCAACTCACGGAGTTGAACACTCCTTTTGAGAGCGCAGTTTTGAAACTCTCTTTCTGTGGCATCCGCAAGGGGACATGTAGACCTACTTTGAAGATTTCGTTGGAAACGGAATCATCTTCACATAAAAACTATACAGAAGCAGTCTCAGAATCTTCTTTGTGATGTTTGCATTCAAATCCCAGAGTTGAACTTTCCTTTCAAAGTTCACGTTTGAAACACTCTTTTTGCAGGATCTACAAGTGGATATTTGGACCACTCTGTGTCCTTCGTTCGAAACGGGTATATCTTCACATGACATCTAGACAGAAGCTTTCTCAGAAAATTCTTTGGGATGATTGAGTTGAACTCACAGAGCTGAGCATTCCTTGCGATGTAGCAGTTTAGAAACACACTTTCTGCAGAATCTGCAAGTGCATATTTGGACCTCTGTGAGGAATTCGTTGGAAACGGGATAATTTCAGCTGACTAAACAGAAGCATTCTCAGAATTTCTTCGTGATGTCTGCATTCAACTCACAGTGTGGAACCTTTCTTTGATAGTTCAGGTTTGAAACACTCTTTTTGTAGAGACTGCAAGGGGATAATTGCACTTCTTTGAGGCCTACGGTAGTAAAGGAAATAACTTCCTATAAAAAGAAGACAGAAGCATTCTCAGAACCCTCTTCGTGATGTTTGCATTCAACTCACAGTTCTGAACCTTTCTTTGATAGTTCAGCTTTGAAACACTCTTCTTGTAGAAACTGCAAGTGGATATTTGGTCCTCTCTGAGGATTTCGTTGGAAACGGGATAAACCGCACAGAACTAAACAGAAGCATTCTCAGAACCTTCTTCGTGATGTTTGCATTCAACTCACAGTGTTGAACCTTTCTTTGATAGTTCAGGTTGGAAACGGTCTTTCTGTAGAAACTGCAAGTAGATATTTGGACCTCTCTGAGGATTTCGTTGGAAACGGGATAAACCGCACAGAACTAAAACAGAAGCATTCACAGAAAACTCTTGGTGACGACAGAGTTTAACTCACAGAGCTGAACATTCCTTTGGATGGAGCAGTTTCGAAACACACTATTTGTAGAATGTGCAAGTGGATATTTGGGCCTCTCTGAGGATTTCGTTGGAAATGGGATATACCGCACAGAACTAAACAGAAGCATTCTCAGAAACTATTTTGTGATGATTGCATTCAAGTCACAGAGTTGAACATTCCCTTTGACAGAGCAGTTTGGAAACTCTCTTTGTGTAGAATCTGCAAGTGGAGATATGGACCGCTTTGAGGCCTATGGTAGTAAAGGAAATAGCTTCATATAAAAGCTAGACAGTAGCATTCTCAGAAACTTCTTTGTGATGCTTGCATTCAACTCACAGAGTTGAACTTTCCTTTCGAGAGAGAAGCTTTGAAACACTCTTTTTCCAGAATCTGCAAGTGGACATTTGGAGGGCTTTGAGGCCTGTGGTGGAAAAGGAATTATCTTCCCCGTAAAAGCTAGATAGAAGCATTGTCAGAAACTTCTTTGTGATGATTGCATTCAACTCACAGAGTTGAAGGTTCCTTTTCAAAGAGCAGTTTCCAATCACTCTTTCTGTGGAATCTGCAAGTGGATATTTGGACCTATTTTGAAGATTTCGTTGGAAACGGGAGAATCTTCACAGGAAAGCTAAACAGAAGCATTCTCAGAAACTTCTCTGTGATGTTTGTGTTCAACTCCCAGAGTTTCACATTGCTTTTCATAGAGTAGTTCTGAAACATGCTTTTCGTAGTGTCTACAAGTGGACATTTGGAGCGCTTTCAGGCCTGTGGTGGAAAACGAATTATGGTCACATAAAAACTGGAGAGAAGCCTTCTCAGAAACTTCTCTGTGATGATTGCATTCAACTCACAGAGTTGAACCCTCCTATGGATAGAGCAGTGTTGAAACTCTCTTTTTGTGGAATCTGCAAGTGGATATGTGGACCTCTCCGAAGATGTCTTTGGAAACGGGAATATCTTCACATAAAAACTAAACAGAAGCATTCTCAGAAAGTTCTTGGTGATGTTTGCATTCCAATCCCAGAGTTGAACCTTCCTTTGATAGTTCAGGTTTGAAACACTCTTTTTGTAGGATCTGCAAGTGGATATTTGGACCACTCTCTGGCCTTCGTTCGAAACGGGTACATCTTCGCATAAAATCTAGAGAGAAGCATTCTCAGAAAATATTTTGTGATGATTGAGTTGAACTCACAGAGCTGAACATTCCTTTCGATGGAGCAGGTTTGAAACACACTTTTTGTAGAATCTACAGGTGGATATTTGGACCTCTCTGAAGATTTCGTTGGAAACGGGATAACTGCACCTAACTAAACGGAAGCATTCTCAGAAACTGCTTTGTGATGATTGCATTCACCTCACAGAGTTGAACATTCCTATTGATAGAGCAGTTTGGAAACACTCTTGTTGTGGAATGTGCAAGTGGAGATTTGGAGCGCTTTGAGGCCTATGTTAGTAAAGGGAATAGCTTCATAGAAAAACTAGACAGATGCATTCTCAGGAACTTTTTGGTGATGTTTGTATTCAACTCCCAGAGTTGAACTTTCCTTTGGAAAGAGCAGCTATGAAACACTCTTTTTCTAGAATCTGCAAGTGGACGTTTGGAGGGCTTTGTGGTTTGTGGTGGAAAAGGAAATATCTTCACCTAAATACTAGATAGAAAGCATTCTCAGAAGCTTCTCTGTGATGACTGCATTCAACTCACGGAGTTGAACACTCCTTTTGAGAGCGCAGTTTTGAAACTCTCTTTCTGTGGCATCTGCAAGGGGACATGTAGACCTCTTTGAAGATTTCGTTGGAAACGGAATAATCTTCACATAAAAACTATACAGAAGCAGTCTCAGAATCTTCTTTGTGATGTTTGCATTCAAATCCCAGAGTTGAACTATCCTTTCAAAGTTCACGTTTGAAACACTCTTTTTGCAGGATCTACAAGTGGATATTTGGACCACTCTGTGTCCTTCGTTCGAAACGGGTATATCTTCACATGACATCTAGACAGAAGCTTTCTCAGAAAATTCTTTGGGATGATTGAGTGGAACTCACAGAGCTGAACATTCCTTGCGATGTAGCAGTTTAGAAACACACCTTCTGCAGAATCTGCAAGTGCATATTTGGACCTCTCTGAGGAATTCGTTGGAAACGGGATAATTTCAGCTGACTAAACAGAAGCATTCTCAGAACCCTCTTCGTGATGTCTGCATTCAACTCACAGTGCTGAACCTTTCTTTGATAGTTCAGCTTTGAAACACTCTTTTTGTAGAAACTGCAAGGGGATAATTGCACTTCTTTGAGGCCTACCGTAGTAAAGGAAATAACTTCCTATAAAAAGAAGACAGAAGCATTCTCAGAACCCTCTTCGTGATGTTTGCATTCAACTCACAGTGCTGAACCTTTCTTTGATAGTTCAGCTTTGAAACACTGTTTTTGTAGAAACTGCAAGTGGACATTTGGTCCTCTGTGAGGATTTCGTTGGTAACGGGATAAACTGCACAGAACTAAACAGAAGCATCCTCAGAACCTTCTTCGTGATGTTTGCATTCAACTCACAGTGCTGAACCTTTCTTTGATAGTTCAGATTTGAAACACTCTTTTTGTAGAAACTGCAAGTGGATATTTGGACCTCTCTGAGGATTTCGTTGGAAACGGGATAAACCGCACAGAACTAAAACAGAAGCATTCACAGGAAAACTCTTGGTGACGACTGCGTTTAACTCACAGAGCTGAACATCCCTTTGGATGGAGCAGTTTCGAAAAACACTATTTGTAGAATGTGCAAGTGGATATTGGGGCCTCTCTGAGGATTTCGTTGGAAACGGGATAAACCACACAGAACTAAACAGAAGCATTCTCAGAAACTACTTTGTGATGATTGCATTCAAGTCACAGAGTTGAACATTCCCTTTGACAGAGCAGTTTGGAAACTCTCTTTGTGTAGAATCTGCAAGTGGAGATATGGACCGCTTTGAGGACTATGGTAGTAAAGGAAATAGCTTCATATAAAAGCTAAACAGTAGCATTCTCAGAAACTTCTTTGTGATGCTTGCATTCAACTCACAGAGTTGAACTTTCCTTTCGAGAGAGAAGCTTTGAAACACTCTTTTTCCAGAATCTGCAAGTGGACATTTGGAGGGCTTTGAGGCCTGTGGTGGAAAAGGAATTATCTTCCCGTAAAAGCTAGATAGAAGCATTGTCAGAAACTTCTTTGTGATGATTGCATTCAACTCACAGAGTTGAAGGTTCCTTTTCAAACAGCAGTTTCCAATCACTCTTTCTGTGGAATCTGCAAGTGGATATTTGGGCCTCTCTGAGGATTTCGTTGGAAACGGGATAAAACGCACAGAACTAAAACAGAAGCATTCTCAGAAACTTCTCTGTGATGTTTGTGTTCAACTCCCAGAGTTTCACGTTGCTTTTCATAGAGTAGTTCTGAAACATGCTTTTCGTAGTGTCTGCAAGTGGACATTTGGAGCGCTTTCAGGCCTGTGGTGGAAAACGAATTATGGTCACATAAAAACTGGAGAGAAGCCTTCTCAGAAACTTCTCTGTGATGATTGCATTCAACTCACAGAGTTGAACCCTCCTATGGATAGAGCAGTGTTGAAACTCTCTTTTTGTGGAATCTGCAAGTGGATATGTGGACCTCTCCGAAGATGTCTTTGGAAACGGGAATATCTTCACATAAAAACTAAACAGAAGCATTCTCAGAAACTTCTTGGTGATGTTTGCATTCAAATCCCAGAGTTGAACCTTCCTTTGATAGTTCAGGTTTGAAACACTCTTTTTGTAGGATCTGCAAGTGGATATTTGGACCACTCTGTGGCCTTCGTTCGAAACGGGTACATCTTCGCATAAAATCTAGACAGAAGAATTCTCAGAAAATACTTTGTTATGATTGAGTTGAACTCACAGAGCTGAACATTCCTTTGGATGGAGCAGGTTTGAGACACACTTTTTGTAGAATCTACAAGTGGATATTTGGACCTCTCTGAGGATTTCGTTGGAAACGGGATAACTGCACCTAACTAAACGGAAGCATTCTCAGAAACTGCTTTGTGATGATTGCATTCACCTCACAGAGTTGAACATTCCTATTGATAGAGCAGTTTGGAAACGCTCTTCTTGTGGAATGTGCAAGTGGAGATTTGGAGCGCTTTGAGGCCTATGGTAGTAAAGGGAATAGCTTCATAGAAAAACTAGACAGATGCATTCTCAGGAACCTTTTGGTGATGTTTGTATTCAACTCCCAGAGTTGAACTTTCCTTTGGAAAGAGCAGCTATGAAACACTCTTTTTCTAGAATCTGCAAGTGGACGTTTGGAGGGCTTTGTGGTTTGTGGTGGAAAAGGAAATATCTTCACCTAAATACTAGATAGAAGCATTCTCAGAAGCTTCTCTGTGATGACTGCATTCAACTCACGGAGTTGAACACTCCTTTTGAGAGCGCAGTTTTGAAACTCTCTTTCTGTGGCATCTGCAAGGGGACATGCAGACCTCTTTGAAGATTTCGTTGGAAACGGAATCATCTTCACATAAAAACTATACAGAAGCAGTCTCAGAATCTTCTTTGTGATGTTTGCATTCAAATCCCAGAGTTGAACTTTCCCTTCAAAGTTCACGTTTGAAACACTCTTTTTGCAGGATCTACAAGTGGATATTTGGACCACTCTGTGTCCTTCTTTCGAAACGGGTATATCTTCACACGACATCTAGACAGAAGCTTTCTCAGAAAATTCTTTGGGATGATTGAGTGGAACTCACAGAGCTGAACATTCCTTGCGATGTAGCAGTTTAGAAACACACTTTCTGCAGAATCTGCAAGTGCATATTTGGACCTCTCTGAGGAATTCGTTGGAAACGGGATAATTTCAGCTGACTAAACAGAAGCATTCTCAGAACCTTCTTCGTGATGTCTGCATTCAACTCACAGTGTGGAAACTTTCTTTGATAGTTCAGGTTTGAAACACTCTTTTTGTAGAGACTGCAAGGGGATAATTGCACTTCTTTGAGGCCTACCGTAGTAAAGGAAATAACTTCCTATAAAAAGAAGACAGAAGCATTCTCAGAACCCTCTTCGTGATGTTTGCATTCAACTCACAGTGCTGAACCTTTCTTTGATAGTTCAGCTTTGAAACACTCTTTTTGTAGAAACTGCAAGTGGATATTTGGTCCTCTCTGAGCATTTCGTTGGAAACGGGATAAACTGCACAGAACTAAACAGAAGCATTCTCAGAACCTTCTTCGTGATGTTTGCATTCAACTCACAGTGTTGAACCTTTCTTTGATAGTTCAGGTTTGAAACGGTCTTTCTGTAGAAACTGCAAGTAGATATTTGGACCTCTCTGAGGATTTCGTTGGAAACGGGATAAACCGCACAGAACTACAACAGAAGCATTCACAGAAAACTCTTGGTGACGACTGAGTTTAACTCACAGAGCTGAACATTCCTTTGGATGGAGCAGTTTCGAAACACACTATTTGTAGAATGTGCAAGTGGATATTTAGGCCTCTCTGAGGATTTCGTTGGAAACGGGATAAACCGCACAGAACTAAACAGAAGCATTCTCAGAAACTACTTTGTGATGATTGCATTCAAGTCACAGAGTTGAACATTCCCTTTGACAGAGCAGTTTGGAAACTCTCTTTGTGTAGAATCTGCAAGTGGAGATATGGACCGCTTTGAGGCCTATGGTAGTAAAGGAAATAGCTTCATATAAAAGCTAGACAGTAGCATTCTCAGAAACTTCTTTGTGATGCTTGCATTCAACTCACAGAGTTGAACTTTCCTTTCGAGAGAGAAGCTTTGAAACAATCTTTTTCCAGAATCTGCAAGTGGACATTTGGAGGGCTTTGAGGCCTGTGGTGGAAAAGGAATTATTGTCCCGTAAAAGCTAGATAGAAGCATTGTCAGAAACTTCTTTGTGATGATTGCATTCAACTCACAGAGTTGAAGGTTCCTTTTCAAACAGCAGTTTCCAATCACTCTTTCTGTGGAATCTGCAAGTGGATATTTGGGCCTCTCTGAGGATTTCGTTGGAAACGGGATAAAACGCACAGAACTAAAACAGAAGCATTCTCAGAAACTTCTCTGTGATGTTTGTTTTCAACTCCCAGAGTTTCACATTGCTTCTCATAGAGTAGTTCTGAAACATGCTTTTCGTAGTGTCTGCAAGTGGACATTTGGAGCGCTTTCAGGCCTGTGGTGGAAAACGAATTATGGTCACATAAAAACTGGAGAGAAGCCTTCTCAGAAACTTCTCTGTGATGATTGCATTCAACTCACAGAGTTGAACCCTCCTATGGATAGAGCAGTGTTGAAACTCTCTTTTTGTGGAATCTGCAAGCGGATATGTGGACGTCTCCGAAGATGTCTTTGGAAACGGGAATATCTTCACATAAAAACTAAACAGAAGCATTCTCAGAAACTTCTTGGTGATGTTTGCATTCAAATCCCAGAGTTGAACCTTCCTTTGATAGTTCAGGTTTGAAACACTCTTTCTGTAGGATCTGCAAGTGGCTATTTGGACCACTCTGTGGCCTTCGTTCGAAACGGGTATATCTTCGCATAAAATCTAGACAGAAGCATTCTCAGAAAATACTTTGTGATGATTGAGTTTAAATCACAGAGCTGACCATTCCTTTGGATGGAGCAGGTTTGAGACACACTTTTTGTAGAATCTACAAGTGGATATTTGGACCTCTCTGAGGATTTCGTTGGAAACGGGATAACTGCACCTAACTAAACGGAAGCATTCTCAGAAACTGCTTTGTGATGATTGCATTCACCTCACAGAGTTGAACATTCCTATTGATAGAGCAGTTTGGAAACACTCTTGTTGTGGAATGTGCAAGTGGAGATTTGGAGCGCTTTGAGGCCTATGGTAGTAAAGGGAATAGCTTCATAGAAAAACTAGACAGATGCATTCTCAGGAACTTTTTGGTGATGTTTGTATTCAACTCCCAGAGTTGAACTTTCCTTTGGAAAGAGCAGCTATGAAACACTCTTTTTCTAGAATCTGCAAGTGGACGTTTGGAGGGCTTTGTGGTTTGTGGTGGAAAAGGAAATATCTTCACCTAAATACTAGATAGAAGCATTCTCAGACGCTTCTCTGTGATGACTGCATTCAACTCACGGAGTTGAACACTCCTTTTGAGAGCGCAGTTTTGAAACTCTCTTTCTGTGGCATCTGCAAGGGGACATGTAGACCTCTTTGAAGATTTCGTTGGAAACGGAATCATCTTCACATAAAAACTATATAGAAGCAGTCTCAGAATCTTCTTTGTGATGTTTGCATTCAAATCCCAGAGTTGAACTTTCCTTTCAAAGTTCACGTTTGAAACACTCTTTTTGCAGGATCTACAAGTGGATATTTGGACCACTCTGTGTCCTTCGTTCGAAACGGGTATATCTTCACACGACATCTAGACAGAAGCTTTCTCAGAAAATTCTTTGGGATGATTGAGTTGAACTCACAGAGCTGAGCATTCCTTGCGATGTAGCAGTTTAGAAACACACTTTCTGCAGAATCTGCAAGTGCATATTTGGACCTCTGTGAGGAATTCGTTGGAAACGGGATAATTTCAGCTGACTAAACAGAAGCATTCTCAGAACCTTCTTCGTGATGTCTGCATTCAACTCACAGTGTGGAACCTTTCTTTGATAGCTCAGGTTTGAAACACTCTTTTTGTAGAAACTGCAAGGGGATAATTGCACTTCTTTGAGGCCTACCGTAGTAAAGGAAATAACTTCCTATAGAAAGAAGACAGAAGCATTCTCAGAACCCTCTTCGTGATGTTTGCATTCAACTCACAGTGCTGAACCTTTCTTTGATAGTTCAGCTTTGAAACACTCTTCTTGTAGAAACTGCAAGTGGATATTTGGTCCTCTCTGAGGATTTCGTTGGAAACGGGATAAACCGCACAGAACTAAACAGAAGCATTCTCAGAACCTTCTTCGTGATGTTTGCATTCAACTCACAGTGTTGAACCTTTCTTTGATAGTTCAGGTTTGAAACGGTCTTTCTGTAGAAACTGCAAGTAGATATTTGGACCTCTCTGAGGATTTCGTTGGAAACGGGATAACCCGCACAGAACTAAAACAGAAGCATTCACAGAAAACTCTTGGTGACGACTGAGTTTAACTCACAGAGCTGAACATTCCTTTGGATGGAGCAGTTTCGAAACACACTATTTGTAGAATGTGCAAGTGGATATTTAGGCCTCTCTGAGGATTTCGTTGGAAACGGGATAAACCGCACAGAACTAAACAGAAGCATTCTCAGAAACTACTTTGTGATGATTGCATTCAAGTCACAGAGTTGAACATTCCCTTTGACAGAGAAGTTTGGAAACTCTCTTTGTGTAGAATCTGCAAGTGGAGATATGGACCGCTTTGAGGCCTATGGTAGTAAAGGAAATAGCTTCATATAAAAGCTAGACAGTAGCATTCTCAGAAAACTTCTTTGTGATGCTTGCATTCAACTCACAGAGTTGAACTTTCCTTTCGAGAGAGAAGCTTTGAAACACTCTTTTTCCAGAATGTGCAAGTGGACATTTGGGGAGCTTTGAGGCCTGTGGTGGAAAAGGAATTATCTTCCCGTAAAAGCTAGATAGAAGCATTGTCAGAAACTTCTTTGTGATGATTGCATTCAACTCACAGAGTTGAAGGTTCCTTTTCAAACAGCAGTTTCCAATCACTCTTTCTGTGGAATCTGCAAGTGGATATTTCGACCTCTTTGAAGATTTCGTTGGAAACGGGAGAATCTTCACAGAAAAGCTAAACAGAAGCATTCTCAGAACCTTCTCTGTGATGTTTGTGTTCAACTCCCAGAGTTTCACATTGCTTTTCATAGAGTAGTTCTGAAACATGCTTTTCGTAGTGTCTGCAAGTGGACGTTTGGAGCGCTTTCAGGCCTGTGGTGGAAAACGAATTATGGTCACATAAAAACTGGAGAGAAGCCTTCTCAGAAACTTCTCTGTGATGATTGCATTCAACTCACAGAGTTGAACACTCCTATGGATAGAGCAGTGTTGAAACTCTCTTTTTGTGGAATCTGCAAGTGGATATGTGGACCTCTCCGAAGATGTCTTTGGAAACGGGAATATCTTCACATAAAAACTAAACAGAAGCATTCTCAGAAACTTCTTGGTGATGTTTGCATTCAAATCCCAGAGTTGAACCTTCCTTTGATAGTTCAGGTTTGAAACACTCTTTCTGTAGGATCTGCAAGTGGCTATTTGGACCACTCTGTGGCCTTCGTTCGAAACGGGTATATCTTCGCATAAAATCTAGACAGAAGCATTCTCAGAAAATACTTTGTGATGATTGAGTTTAAATCACAGAGCTGACCATTCCTTTGGATGGAGCAGGTTTGAGACACACTTTTTGTAGAATCTACAAGTGGATATTTGGACCTCTCTGAGGATTTCGTTGGAAACGGGATAACTGCACCTAACTAAACGGAAGCATTCTCAGAAACTGCTTTGTGATGATTGCATTCACCTCACAGAGTTGAACATTCCTATTGATAGAGCAGTTTGGAAACACTCTTGTTGTGGAATGTGCAAGTGGAGATTTGGAGCGCTTTGAGGCCTATGGTAGTAAAGGGAATAGCTTCATAGAAAAACTAGACAGATGCATTCTCAGGAACTTTTTGGTGATGTTTGTATTCAACTCCCAGAGTTGAACTTTCCTTTGGAAAGAGCAGCTATGAAACACTCTTTTTCTAGAATCTGCAAGTGGACGTTTGGAGGGCTTTGTGGTTTGTGGTGGAAAAGGAAATATCTTCACCTAAATACTAGATAGAAGCATTCTCAGAAGCTTCTCTGTGATGACTGCATTCAACTCACGGAGTTGAACACTCCTTTTGAGAGCGCAGTTTTGAAACTCTCTTTCTGTGGCATCCGCAAGGGGACATGTAGACCTCTTTGAAGATTTCGTTGGAAACGGAATCATCTTCACATAAAAACTATACAGACAGTCTCAGGAATCTTCTTTGTGATGTTTGCATTCAAATCCCAGAGTTGAACTTTCCTTTCAAAGTTCACGTTTGAAACACTCTTTTTGCAGGATCTACAAGTGGATATTTGGACCACTCTGTGTCCTTCGTTCGAAACGGGTATATCTTCACATGACAGCTAGACAGAAGCTTTCTCAGAAAATTCTTTGGGATGATTGAGTGGAACTCACAGTGCTGAACATTCCTTGCGATGTAGCAGTTTAGAAACACACTTTCTGCAGAATCTGCAAGTGCATATTTGGACCTCTCTGAGGAATTCGTTGGAAACGGGATAATTTCAGCTGACTAAACAGAAGCATTCTCAGAACCTTCTTCGTGATGTCTGCATTCAACTCACAGTGTGGAACCTTTCTTTGATAGTTCAGGTTTGAAACACTCTTTTTGTAGAAACTGCAAGGGGATAATTGCACTTCTTTGAGGCCTACCGTAGTAAAGGAAATAACTTCCTATTGAAAGAAGACAGAAGCATTCTCAGAACCTTCTTCGTGATGTTTGCATTCAACTCACAGTGTTGAACCTTTCTTTGATAGTTCAGGTTTGAAACGGTCTTTCTGTAGAAACTGCAAGTAGATATTTGGACCTCTCTGAGGATTTCGTTGGAAACGGGATAAACCGCACAGAACTAAACAGAAGCATTCACAGAAAACTCTTGGTGACGACTGAGTTTAACTCACAGAGCTGAACATTCCTTTGGATGGAGCAGTTTCGAAACACACTATTTGTAGAATGTGCAAGTGGATATTTGGGCCTCTCTGAGGATTTCGTTGGAAACGGGATAAACCGCACAGAACTAAACAGAAGCATTCTCAGAAACTACTTTGTGATGATTGCATTCAAGTCACAGAGTTGAACATTCCCTTTGACAGAGCAGTTTGGAAACTCTCTTTGTGTAGAATCTGCAAGTGGAGATATGGACCGCTTTGAGGCCTATGGTAGTAAAGGAAATAGCTTCATATAAAAGCTAGACAGTAGCATTCTCAGAAACTTCTTTGTGATGCTTGCATTCAACTCACAGAGTTGAACTTTCCTTTCGAGAGAGAAGCTTTGAAACACTCTTTTTCCAGAATCTGCAAGTGGACATTTGGAGGGCTTTGAGGCCTGTGGTGGAAAAGGAATTATCTTCCCGTAAAAGCTAGATAGAAGCATTGTCAGAAACTTCTTTGTGATGATTGCATTCAACTCACAGAGTTGAAGGTTCCTTTTCAAAGAGCAGTTTCCAATCACTCTTTGTGTGGAATCTGCAAGTGGATATTTGGACCTATTTTGAAGATTTCGTTGGAAACGGGAGAATCTTCACAGGAAAGCTAAACAGAAGCATTCTCAGAAACTTCTCTGTGATGTTTGTGTTCAACTCCCAGAGTTTCACGTTGCTTTTCATAGAGTAGTTCTGAAACATGCTTTTCGTAGTGTCTGCAAGTGGACATTTGGAGCGCTTTCAGGCCTGTGGTGGAAAACGAATTATGGTCACAAAAAAACTGGAGAGAAGCCTTCTCAGAAACTTCTCTGTGATGATTGCATTCAACTCACAGAGTTGAACCCTCCTATGGATAGAGCAGTGTTGAAACTCTCTTTTTGTGGAATCTGCAAGTGGATATGTGGACCTCTCCGAAGATGTCTTTGGAAACGGGAATATCTTCACATAAAAACTAAACAGAAGCATTCTCAGAAACTTCTTGGTGATGTTTGCATTCAAATCCCAGAGTTGAACCTTCCTTTGATAGTTCAGGTTTGAAACACTCTTTCTGTAGGATCTGCAAGTGGCTATTTGGACCACTCTGTGGCCTTCGTTCGAAACGGGTATATCTTCGCATAAAATCTAGACAGAAGCATTCTCAGAAAATACTTTGTGATGATTGAGTTTAACTCACAGATCTGAACATTCCTTTGGATGGAGCAGGTTTGAGACACACTTTTTGTAGAATCTACAAGTGGATATTTGGACCTCTCTGAGGATTTCGTTGGAAACCTGATAACTGCACCTAACTAAACGGAAGCATTCTCAGAAACTGCTTTGTGATGATTGCATTCACCTCACAGAGTTGAACATTCCTATTGATAGAGCAGTTTGGAAACACTCTTGTTGTGGAATGTGCAAGTGGAGATTTGGAGCGCTTTGAGGCCTGTGGTAGTAAAGGGAATAGCTTCATAGAAAAACTAGACAGATGCATTCTCAGGAACCTTTTGGTGATGTTTGTATTCAACTCCCAGAGTTGAACTTTCCTTTGGAAAGAGCAGCTATGAAACACTCTTTTTCTAGAATCTGCAAGTGGACGTTTGGAGGGCTTTGTGGTTTGTGGTGGAAAAGGAAATATCTTCACCTAAATACTAGATAGAAGCATTCTCAGAAGCTTCTCTGTGATGACTGCATTCAACTCACGGAGTTGAACACTCCTTTTGAGAGCGCAGTTTTGAAACTCTCTTTCTGTGGCATCTGCAAGGGGACATGTAGACCTCTTTGAAGATTTCGTTGGAAACGGAATCATCTTCACATAAAAACTATACAGAAGCAGTCTCAGAATCTTCTTTGTGATGTTTGCATTCAAATCCCAGAGTTGAACTTTCCTTTCAAAGTTCACGTTTGAAACACTCTTTTTGCAGGATCTACTAGTGGATATTTGGACCACTCTGTGTCCTTCGTTCGAAACGGGTATATCTTCACATGACATCTAGACAGAAGCTTTCTCAGAAAATTCTTTGGGATGATTGAGTTGAGCAAACAGAGCTGAACACTCCTTGCGATGTAGCAGTTTAGAAACACACTTTCTGCAGAATCTGCAAGTGCATATGTGGACCTCTCTGAGGAATTCGTTGGAAACGGGATAATTTCAGCTGACAAAACAGAAGCATTCTCAGAACCTTCTTCGTGATGTCTGCATTCAACTCACAGTGTGGAACCTTTCTTTGATAGTTCAGGTTTGAAACACTCTTTTTGTAGAAACTGCAAGGGGATAATTGCACTCTTTGAGGAGTACCGTAGTAAAGGAAATAACTTCCTATAAAAAGAAGACAGAAGAATTCTCAGAGCCCTCTTCGTGATGTTTGCATTCAACTCACAGTGCTGAACCTTTCTTTGATAGTGCAGCTTTGAAACACTCTTTTTGTAGAAACTGCAAGTGGATGTTTGGTCCTCTCTGAGGATTTCGTTGGAAACGGGATAAACCGCACAGAACTAAAACAGAAGCATTCTCAGAACCTTCTTCGTGATGTTTGCATTCAACTCACAGTGTTGAACCTTTCTTTGATAGTTCAGGTTTGAAACGGTCTTTCTGTAGAAACTGCAAGTAGATATTTGGACCTCTCTGAGGATTTCGTTGGAAACGGGATAACCCGCACAGAACTAAAACAGAAGCATTCACAGAAAACTCTTGGTGACGACTGAGTTTAACTCACAGAGCTGAACATTCCTTTGGATGGAGCAGTTTCGAAACACACTATTTGTAGAATGTGCAAGTGGATATTTAGGCCTCTCTGAGGATTTCGTTGGAAACGGGATAAACCGCACAGAACTAAACAGAAGCATTCTCAGAAACTACTTTGTGATGATTGCATTCAAGTCACAGAGTTGAACATTCCCTTTGACAGAGCAGTTTGGAAACTCTCTTTGTGTAGAATCTGCAAGTGGAGATATGGACCGCTTTGAGGCCTATGGTAGTAAAGGAAATAGCTTCATATAAAAGCTAGACAGTAGCATTCTCAGAAACTTCTTTGTGATGCTTGCATTCAACTCACAGAGTTGAACTTTCCTTTCGAGAGAGAAGCTTTGAAACACTCTTTTTCCAGAATCTGCAAGTGGACATTTGGAGGGCTTTGAGGCCTGTGGTGGAAAAGGAATTATCTTCCCGTAAAAGCTAGATAGAAGCATTGTCAGAAACTTCTTTGTGATGATTGCATTCAACTCACAGAGTTGAAGGTTCCTTTTCAAACAGCAGTTTCCAATCACTCTTTCTGTGGAATCTGCAAGTGGATATTTGGGCCTCTCTGAGGATTTCGTTGGAAACGGGATAAAACGCACAGAACTAAAACAGAAGCATTCTCAGAAACTTCTCTGTGATGTTTGTGTTCAACTCCCAGAGTTTCACGTTGCTTTTCATAGAGTAGTTCTGAAACATGCTTTTCGTAGTGTCTGCAAGTGGACATTTGGAGCGCTTTCAGGCCTGTGGTGGAAAACGAATTATGGTCACATAAAAACTGGAGAGAAGCCTTCTCAGAAACTTCTCTGTGATGATTGCATTCAACTCACAGAGTTGAACCCTCCTATGGGATAGAGCAGTGTTGAAACTCTCTTTTTGTGGAATCTGCAAGTGGATATGTGGACCTCTCCGAAGATGTCTTTGGAAACGGGAATATCTTCACATAAAAACTAAACAGAAGCATTCTCAGAAACTTCTTGGTGATGTTTGCATTCAAATCCCAGAGTTGAACCTTCCTTTGATAGTTCAGGTTTGAAACACTCTTTTTGTAGGATCTGCAAGTGGATATTTGGACCACTCTGTGGCCTTCGTTCGAAACGGGTATATCTTCGCATAAAATCTAGACAGAAGCATTCTCAGAAAATACTTTGTGATGATTGAGTTTAACTCACAGAGCTGAACATTCCTTTGGATGGAGCAGGTTTGAGACACACTTTTTGTAGAATCTACAAGTGGATATTTGGACCTCTCTGAGGATTTCGTTGGAAACGCGATAACTGCACCTAACTAAACGGAAGCATTCTCAGAAACTGCTTTGTGATGATTGCATTCACCTCACAGAGTTGAACATTCCTATTGATAGAGCAGTTTGGAAACACTCTTGTTGTGGAATGTGCAAGTGGAGATTTGGAGCGCTTTGAGGTCTATGGTAGTAAAGGGAATAGCTTCATAGAAAAACTAGACAGATGCATTCTCAGGAACTTTTTGGTGATGTTTGTATTCAACTCCCAGAGTTGAACTTTCCTTTGGAAAGAGCAGCTATGAAACACTCTTTTTCTAGAATCTGCAAGTGGACGTTTGGAGGGCTTTGTGGTTTGTGGTGGAAAAGGAAATATCTTCACCTAAATACTAGATAGAAGCATTCTCAGAAGCTTCTCTGTGATGACTGCATTCAACTCACGGAGTTCAACACTCCTTTTGAGAGCGCAGTTTTGAAACTCTCTTTCTGTGGCATCTGCAAGGGGACATGTAGACCTCTTTGAAGATTTCGTTGGAAACGGAATCATCTTCACATAAAAACTATACAGAAGCAGTCTCAGAATCTTCTTTGTGATGTTTGCATTCAAATCCCCGAGTTGAACTTTCCTTTCAAAGTTCACGTTTGAAACACTCTTTTTGCAGGATCTACAAGTGGATATTTGGACCACTCTGTGTCCTTCGTTCGAAACGGGTATATCTTCACATGACATCTAGACAGAAGCTTTCTCAGAAAATTCTTTGGGATGATTGAGTGGAACTCACAGAGCTGAACATTCCTTGCGATGTAGCAGTTTAGAAACACACTTTCTGCAGAATCTGCAAGTGCATATTTGGACCTCTCTGAGGAATTCGTTGGAAACGGGATAATTTCAGCTGACTAAACAGAAGCATTCTCAGAACCTTCTTCGTGATGTCTGCATTCAACTCACAGTGTGGAACCTTTCTTTGATAGTTCAGGTTTGAAACACTCTTTTTGTAGAAACTGCAAGGGGATAATTGCACTTCTTTGAGGCCTACCGTAGTAAAGGAAATAACTTCCTATAGAAAGAAGACAGAAGCATTCTCAGAACCCTCTTCGTGATGTTTGCATTCAACTCACAGTGCTGAACCTTTCTTTGATAGTTCAGCTTTGAAACACTCTTCTTGTAGAAACTGCAAGTGGATATTTGGTCCTCTCTGAGGATTTCGTTGGAAACGGGATAAACCGCACAGAACTAAACAGAAGCATTCTCAGAACCTTCTTCGTGATGTTTGCATTCAACTCACAGTGTTGAACCTTTCTTTGATAGTTCAGGTTTGAAACGGTCTTTCTGTAGAAACTGCAAGTAGATATTTGGACCTCTCTGAGGATTTCGTTGGAAACGGGATAACCCGCACAGAACTAAAACAGAAGCATTCACAGAAAACTCTTGGTGACGACTGAGTTTAACTCACAGAGCTGAACATTCCTTTGGATGGAGCAGTTTCGAAACACACTATTTGTAGAATCTGCAAGTGGATATTTGGGCCTCTCTGAGGATTTCGTTGGAAACGGGATAAAACGCACAGAACTAAAACAGAAGCATTCTCAGAAACTACTTTGTGATGATTGCATTCAAGTCACAGAGTTGAACATTCCCTTTGACAGAGCAGTTTGGAAACTCTCTTTGTGTAGAATCTGCAAGTGGAGATATGGACCGCTTTGAGGCCTATGGTAGTAAAGGAAATAGCTTCATATAAAAGCTAGACAGTAGCATTCTCAGAAACTTCTTTGTGATGCTTGCATTCAACTCACAGAGTTGAACTTTCCTTTCGAGAGAGAAGCTTTGAAACACTCTTTTTCCAGAATCTGCAAGTGGACATTTGGAGGGCTTTGAGGCCTGTGGTGGAAAAGGAATTATCTTCCCGTAAAAGCTAGATAGAAGCATTGTCAGAAACTTCTTTGTGATGATTGCATTCAACTCACAGAGTTGAAGGTTCCTTTTCAAACAGCAGTTTCCAATCACTCTTTCTGTGGAATCTGCAAGTGGATATTTGGGCCTCTCTGAGGATTTCGTTGGAAACGGGATAAAACGCACAGAACTAAAACAGAAGCATTCTCAGAAACTTCTCTGTGATGTTTGTGTTCAACTCCCAGAGTTTCACGTTGCTTTTCATAGAGTAGTTCTGAAACATGCTTTTCGTAGTGTCTGCAAGTGGACATTTGGAGCGCTTTCAGGCCTGTGGTGGAAAACGAATTATGGTCACATAAAAACTGGAGAGAAGCCTTCTCAGAAACTTCTCTGTGATGATTGCATTCAACTCACAGAGTTGAACCCTCCTATGGATAGAGCAGTGTTGAAACTCTCTTTTTGTGGAATCTGCAAGTGGATATGTGGACCTCTCCGAAGATGTCTTTGGAAACGGGAATATCTTCACATAAAAACTAAACAGAAGCATTCTCAGAAACTTCTTGGTGATGTTTGCATTCAAATCCCAGAGTTGAACCTTCCTTTGATAGTTCAGGTTTGAAACACTCTTTCTGTAGGATCTGCAAGTGGCTATTTGGACCACTCTGTGGCCTTCGTTCGAAACGGGTATATCTTCGCATAAAATCTAGACAGAAGCATTCTCAGAAAATACTTTGTGATGATTGAGTTTAAATCACAGAGCTGACCATTCCTTTGGATGGAGCAGGTTTGAGACACACTTTTTGTAGAATCTACAAGTGGATATTTGGACCTCTCTGAGGATTTCGTTGGAAACGGGATAACTGCACCTAACTAAACGGAAGCATTCTCAGAAACTGCTTTGTGATGATTGCATTCACCTCACAGAGTTGAACATTCCTATTGATAGAGCAGTTTGGAAACACTCTTGTTGCGGAATGTGCAAGTGGAGATTTGGAGCGCTTTGAGGCCTGTGGTAGTAAAGGGAATAGCTTCATAGAAAAACTAGACAGATGCATTCTCAGGAACTTTTTGGTGATGTTTGTATTCAACTCCCAGAGTTGAACTTTCCTTTGGAAAGAGCAGCTATGAAACACTCTTTTTCTAGAATCTGCAAGTGGACGTTTGGAGGGCTTTGTGGTTTGTGGTGGAAAAGGAAATATCTTCACCTAAATACTAGATAGAAGCATTCTCAGAAGCTTCTCTGTGATGACTGCATTCAACTCACGGAGTTGAACACTCCTTTTGAGAGCGCAGTTTTGAAACTCTCTTTCTGTGGCATCTGCAAGGGGACATGTAGACCTCTTTGAAGATTTCGTTGGAAACGGAATCATCTTCACATAAAAACTATACAGAAGCAGTCTCAGAATCTTCTTTGTGATGTTTGCATTCAAATCCCCGAGTTGAACTTTCCTTTCAAAGTTCACGTTTGAAACACTCTTTTTGCAGGATCTACAAGTGGATATTTGGACCACTCTGTGTCCTTCGATCGAAACGGGTATATCTTCACATGACATCTAGACAGAAGCTTTCTCAGAAAATTCTTTGGGATGATTGAGTTGAACTCACAGAGCTGAGCATTCCTTGCGATGTAGCAGTTTAGAAACACACTTTCTGCAGAATCTGCAAGTGCATATTTGGACCTCTGTGAGGAATTCGTTGGAAACGGGATAATTTCAGCTGACTAAACAGAAGCATTCTCAGAACCTTCTTCGTGATGTCTGCATTCAACTCACAGTGTGGAACCTTTCTTTGATAGTTCAGGTTTGAAACACTCTTTTTGTAGAAACTGCAAGGGGATAATTGCACTTCTTTGAGGCCTACCGTAGTAAAGGAAATAACTTCCTATAGAAAGAAGACAGAAGAACTCTCAGAGCCCTCTTCGTGATGTTTGCATTCAACTCACAGTGCTGAACCTTTCTTTGATAGTGCAGCTTTGAAACACTCTTTTTGTAGAAACTGCAAGTGGATATTTGGTCCTCTCTGAGGATTTCGTTGGAAACGGGATAAACCGCACAGAACTAAAACAGAAGCATTCTCAGAACCTTCTTCGTGATGTTTGCATTCAACTCACAGTGTTGAACCTTTCTTTGATAGTTCAGGTTTGAAACGGTCTTTCTGTAGAAACTGCAAGTAGATATTTGGACCTCTCTGAGGATTTCGTTGGAAACGGGATAAACCGCACAGAACTAAAACAGAAGCATTCACAGAAAACTCTTGGTGACGACTGAGTTTAACTCACAGAGCTGAACATTCCTTTGGATGGAGCAGTTTCGAAACACACTATTTGTAGAATCTGCAAGTGGATATGTGGGCCTCTCTGAGGATTTCGTTGGAAACGGGATAGAACGCACAGAACTAAAACAGAAGCATTCTCAGAAACTACTTTGTGATGATTGCATTCAAGTCACAGAGTTGAACATTCCCTTTGACAGAGCAGTTTGGAAACTCTCTTTGTGTAGAATCTGCAAGTGGAGATATGGACCGCTTTGAGGCCTATGGTAGTAAAGGAAATAGCTTCATATAAAAGCTAGACAGTAGCATTCTCAGAAACTTCTTTGTGATGCTTGCATTCAACTCACAGAGTTGAACTTTCCTTTCGAGAGAGAAGCTTTGAAACACTCTTTTTCCAGAATCTGCAAGTGGACATTTGGAGGGCTTTGAGGCCTGTGGTGGAAAAGGAATTATCTTCCCGTAAAAGCTAGATAGAAGCATTGTCAGAAACTTCTTTGTGATGATTGCATTCAACTCACAGAGTTGAAGGTTCCTTTTCAAAGAGCAGTTTCCAATCACTCTTTGTGTGGAATCTGCAAGTGGATATTTGGACCTATTTTGAAGATTTCGTTGGAAACGGGAGAATCTTCACAGGAAAGCTAAACAGAAGCATTCTCAGAAACTTCTCTGTGATGTTTGTGTTCAACTCCCAGAGTTTCACATTGCTTTTCATAGAGTAGTTCTGAAACATGCTTTTCGTAGTGTCTGCAAGTGGACATTTGGAGCGCTTTCAGGCCTGTGGTGGAAAACGAATTATGGTCACATAAAAACTGGAGAGAAGCCTTCTCAGAAACTTCTCTGTGATGATTGCATTCAACTCACAGAGTTGAACCCTCCTATGGATAGAGCAGTGTTGAAACTCTCTTTTTGTGGAATCTGCAAGTGGATATGTGGACCTCTCCGAAGATGTCTTTGGAAACGGGAATATCTTCACATAAAAACTAAACGGAAGCATTCTCAGAAACTTCTTGGTGATGTTTGCATTCAAATCCCAGAGTTGAACCTTCCTTTGATAGTTCAGGTTTGAAACACTCTTTTTGTAGGATCTGCAAGTGGATATTTGGACCACTCTGTGGCCTTCGTTCGAAACGGGTACATCTTCGCATAAAATCTAGACAGAAGCATTCTCAGAAAATACTTTGTAATGATTGAGTTCAACTCACAGAGCTGAACATTCCTTTGGATGGAGCAGGTTTGAGACACACTTTTTGTAGAATCTACAAGTGGATATTTGGACCTCTCTGAGGATTTCGTTGGAAACGGGATAACTGCACCTAACTAAACGGAAGCATTCTCAGAAACTGCTTTGTGATGATTGCATTCACCTCACAGAGTTGAACATTCCTATTGATAGAGCAGTTTGGAAACACTCTTGTTGTGGAATGTGCAAGTGGAGATTTGGAGCGCTTTGAGGCCTATGGTAGTAAAGGGAATAGCTTCATAGAAAAACTAGACAGATGCATTCTCAGGAACTTTTTGGTGATGTTTGTATTCAACTCCCAGAGTTGAACTTTCCTTTGGAAAGAGCAGCTATGAAACACTCTTTTTCTAGAATCTGCAAGTGGACGTTTGGAGGGCTTTGTGGTTTGTGGTGGAAAAGGAAATATCTTCACCTAAATACTAGATAGAAGCATTCTCAGAAGCTTCTCTGTGATGTCTGCATTCAACTCACGGAGTTGAACACTCCTTTTGAGAGCGCAGTTTTGAAACTCTCTTTCTGTGGCATCTGCAAGGGGACATGTATACCTCTTTGAAGATTTCGTTGGAAACGGAATCATCTTCACATAAAAACTATACAGAAGCAGTCTCAGAATCTTCCTTGTGATGTTTGCATTCAAATCCCACAGTTGAACTTTCCTTTCAAAGTTCACGCTTGAAACACTCTTTTTGCAGGATCTACAAGTGGATATTTGGACCACTCTGTGTCCTTCGTTCGAAACGGGTATATCTTCACATGACATCTACACAGAAGCTTTCTCAGAAAATTCTTTGGGATGATTGAGTGGAACTCAACAGAGCTGAACATTCCTTGCGATGTAGCAGTTTAGAAACACACTTTCTGCAGAATCTGCAAGTGCATATTTGGACCTCTCTGAGGAATTCGTTGGAAACGGGATAATTTCAGCTGACTAAACAGAAGCATTCTCAGAACCTTCTTCGTGATGTCTGCATTCAACTCACAGTGTGGAACCTTTCTTTGATAGTTCAGGTTTGAAACACTCTTTTTGTAGAAACTGCAAGGGGATAGCTGCACTTGTTTGAGGCCTACCGTAGTAAAGGAAATAACTTCCTATAAAAAGAAGACAGAAGCATTCTCAGAACCCTCTTCGTGATGTTTGCATTCAACTCACAGTGCTGAACCTTTCTTTGATAGTGCAGCTTTGAAACACTCTTTTTGTAGAAACTGCAAGTGGATATTTGGTCCTCTCTGAGGATTTCGTTGGAAACGGGATAAAACGCACAGAACTAAACAGAAGCATTCTCAGAACCTTCTTCGTGATGTTTGCATTCAACTCACAGTGTTGAACCTTTCTTTGATAGTTCAGGTTTGAAACGGTCTTTCTGTAGAAACTGCAAGTAGATATTTGGACCTCTCTGAGGATTTCGTTGGAAACGGGATAACCCGCACAGAACTAAAACAGAAGCATTCACAGAAAACTCTTGGTGACGACTGAGTTTAACTCACAGAGCTGAACATTCCTTTGGATGGAGCAGTTTCGAAACACACTATTTGTAGAATCTGCAAGTGGATATTTGGGCCTCTCTGAGGATTTCGTTGGAAACGGGATAAACCGCACAGAACTAAAACAGAAGCATTCTCAGAAACTACTTTGTGATGATTGCATTCAAGTCACAGAGTTGAACATTCCCTTTGACAGAGCAGTTTGGAAACTCTCTTTGTGTAGAATCTGCAAGTGGAGATATGGACCGCGTTGAGGCCCATGGTAGTAAAGGAAATAGCTTCATATAAAAGCTAGACAGTAGCATTCTCAGAAACTTCTTTGTGATGCTTGCATTCAACTCACAGAGTTGAACTTTCCTTTCGAGAGAGAAGCTTTGAAACACTCTTTTTCCAGAATCTGCAAGTGGACATTTGGAGGGCTTTGAGGCCTGTGGTGGAAAAGGAATTAACTTCCCGTAAAAGCTAGATAGAAGCATTGTCAGAAACTTCTTTGTGATGATTGCATTCAACTCACAGAGTTGAAGGTTCCTTTTCAAAGAGCAGTTTCCAATCACTCTTTCTGTGGAATCTGCAAGTGGATATTTGGACCTATTTTGAAGATTTCGTTGGAAACGGGAGAATCTTCACAGGAAAGCTAAACAGAAGCATTCTCAGAAACTTCTCTGTGATGTTTGTGTTCAACTCCCAGAGTTTCACGTTGCTTTTCATAGAGTAGTTCTGAAACATGCTTTTCGTAGTGTCTGCAAGTGGACATTTGGAGCGCTTTCAGGCCTGTGGTGGAAAACGAATTATGGTCACATAAAAACTGGAGAGAAGCCTTCTCAGAAACTTCTCTGTGATGATTGCATTCAACTCACAGAGTTGAACCCTCCTATGGATAGAGCAGTGTTGAAACTCTCTTTTTGTGGAATCTGCAAGTGGATATGTGGACCTCTCCGAAGATGTCTTTGGAAACGGGAATATCTTCACATAAAAACTAAACAGAAGCATTCTCAGAAACTTCTTGGTGATGTTTGCATTCAAATCCCAGAGTTGAACCTTCCTTTGATAGTTCAGGTTTGAAACACTCTTTTTGTAGGATCTGCAAGTGGATATTTGGACCACTCTGTGGCCTTCGTTCGAAACGGGTACATCTTCGCATAAAATCTAGACAGAAGCATTCTCAGAAAATACTTTGTGATGATTGAGTTTAAATCACAGAGCTGACCATTCCTTTGGATGGAGCAGGTTTGAGACACACTTTTTGTAGAATCTACAAGTGGATATTTGGACCTCTCTGAGGATTTCGTTGGAAACGGGATAACTGCACCTAACTAAACGGAAGCATTCTCAGAAACTGCTTTGTGATGATTGCATTCACCTCACAGAGTTGAACATTCCTATTGATAGAGCAGTTTGGAAACACTCTTGTTGTGGAATGTGCAAGTGGAGATTTGGAGCGCTTTGAGGCCTGTGGTAGTAAAGGGAATAGCTTCATAGAAAAACTAGACAGATGCATTCTCAGGAACTTTTTGGTGATGTTTGTATTCAACTCCCAGAGTTGAACTTTCCTTTGGAAAGAGCAGCTATGAAACACTCTTTTTCTAGAATCTGCAAGTGGACGTTTGGAGGGCTTTGTGGTTTGTGGTGGAAAAGGAAATATCTTCACCTAAATACTAGATAGAAGCATTCTCAGAAGCTTCTCTGTGATGACTGCATTCAACTCACGGAGTTGAACACTCCTTTTGAGAGCGCAGTTTTGAAACTCTCTTTCTGTGGCATCTGCAAGGGGACATGTAGACCTCTTTGAAGATTTCGTTGGAAACGGAATCATCTTCACATAAAAACTATACAGAAGCAGTCTCAGAATCTTCTTTGTGATGTTTGCATTCAAATCCCAGAGTTGAACTTTCCTTTCAAAGTTCACGTTTGAAACACTCTTTTTGCAGGATCTACAAGTGGATATTTGGACCACTCTGTGTCCTTCGTTCGAAACGGGTATATCTTCACACGACATCTAGACAGAAGCTTTCTCAGAAAATTCTTTGGGATGATTGAGTTGAACTCACAGAGCTGAGCATTCCTTGCGATGTAGCAGTTTAGAAACACACTTTCTGCAGAATCTGCAAGTGCATATGTGGACCTCTGTGAGGAATTCGTTGGAAACGGGATAATTTCAGCTGACTAAACAGAAGCATTCTCAGAACCTTCTTCGTGATGTCTGCATTCAACTCACAGTGTGGAAGCTTTCTTTGATAGTTCAGCTTTGAAACACTCTTTTTGTAGAAACTGCAAGGGGATAATTGCACTTCTTTGAGGCCTACCGTAGTAAAGGAAATAACTTCCTATAAAAAGAAGACAGAAGCATTCTCAGAACCTTCTTCGTGATGTTTGCATTCAAATCACAGTGCTGAACCTTTCTTTGATAGTTCAGCTTTGAAACACTCTTTTTGTAGAAACTGCAAGTGGATATTTGGTCCTCTGTGAGGATTTCGTTGGAAGCGGGATAAACCGCACAGAACTAAACAGAAGCATTCACAGAAAACTCTTGGTGACGACTGAGTTTAACTCACAGAGCTGAACATCGCTTTGGATGGAGCAGTTTCGAAACACACTATTTGTAGAATGTGCAAGTGGATATTGGGGCCTCTCTGAGGATTTCGTTGGAAACGGGATAAACCGCACAGAACTAAACAGAAGCATTCTTAGAAATTACTTCGTGATGATTGCATTCAAGTCACAGAGTTGAACATTCCCTTTGACAGAGCAGTTTGGAAACTCTCTTTGTGTAGAATCTGCAAGTGGAGATATGGACCGCTTTGAGGCCTATGGTAGTAAAGGAAATAGCTTCATATAAAAGCTAGACAGTAGCATTCTCAGAAACTTCTTTGTGATGCTTGCATTCAACTCACAGAGTTGAACTTTCCTTTCGAGAGAGAAGCTTTGAAACACTCTTTTTCCAGAATCTGCAAGTGGACATTTGGAGGGCTTTGAGGCCTGTGGTGGAAAAGGAATTATCTTCCCGTAAAAGCTAGATAGAAGCATTGTCAGAAACTTCTTTGTGATGATTGCATTCAACTCACAGAGTTGAAGGTTCCTTTTCAAACAGCAGTTTCCAATCACTCTTTCTGTGGAATCTGCAAGTGGATATTTGGGCCTCTCTGAGGATTTCGTTGGAAACGGGATAAAACGCACAGAACTAAAACAGAAGCATTCTCAGAAACTTCTCTGTGATGTTTGTGTTCAACTCCCAGAGTTTCACGTTGCTTTTCATAGAGTAGTTCTGAAACATGCTTTTCGTAGTGTCTGCAAGTGGACATTTGGAGCGCTTTCAGGCCTGTGGTGGAAAACGAATTATGGTCACATAAAAACTGGAGAGAAGCCTTCTCAGAAACTTCTCTGTGATGATTGCATTCAACTCACAGAGTTGAACCCTCCTATGGATAGAGCAGTGTTGAAACTCTCTTTTTGTGGAACCTGCAAGTGGATATGT